>NC_000003.12:167341937-167493452 GCF_000001405.40 Homo sapiens
ACCAATGAACATAACGTATATTACAGCAAGCAAAACTACTGTAAAATTTGTCAGATTCCATGAAAAAAATCATGAGCTCATTTGAGCTACATAAGGAAGAAATTTCATATGAAATGAAATGAATAACATCTTTAGGTATAGAAGAATAAACTTACTAACAAGTAGCAATCAATAATTTGTTACATTTGGTTTTTAAATATAGTATTGCTGTTATATGACAATTAGATAATTGGTATCCCATAAAGACCAATGAACATAACATATAGCAAACAAACTACTGTAAAAATTTGTCAGGTTCCATGAAAGAAATCATGAGATAACATAGGTAGCACCTGCAAATTACAAAAGTCCCTCAAATATTCTGCATCAACATGATTGACTAAAGGTTCAGACAGTGGGTTAGACTAATGATCTTTATGGTCCCCTCCAAAATTGAGATTCTATTATCCTCTATGTGTGAATAAATTGGAAGACTGTATTTTTATATATACTCTGATAAATTGAGCTCTAAAACTTTTACTGTATGGGTTTTTAAAATACAAAACCATTCCAAAATATGTGTAACCATAATGCTTTTAAAAAAACACCCCTACATGCATCCATCTGTATTATTAACCGTAGGTACCATGTTGTACAACAGGTACCCAGAACTCATTTATATTGCTAACTTTAACTTTCTACCCATTGAACAATATCTATTTTCCCTATCCACTAACTACCACTATTCTAATTTCTGCTTCTATAAATTTGACTGTTTAAAATATCTCATATAAGCAGAGTTATGTAGTATTTGTCCTTCTGTAACTTACTTATTTCAATTATCATAATATCTTTCTGGTCCATGGTAAGTGTTATTACCACAAAAAAAAAAAAACAACAAGGGACACAGGAAACTTTTGGAGGTGATGGATGGATGTATTACCATTATTCTGGTGATGATATAATGGGTATATGTACATGTCCAAATCCATCAAATTGTGTACATTAAAGATGTGCAGTTTTTATCTACCAATTATACCTCAATAGAGCTGTAATAAAAAAGAAAACAGCCCTCAACACAAAATTAATCTTTTTGTTAATCCTTTGGACTCATCATTAATATTACATTGTTTTCTGGGCTTTAAATGTAGATAATATAGGAATGGGATTGAATTTCTACTAATACTGTATCCTGACTGATAAAACCTAATGGATGGAGCACCTTCTATGAGCAGAATATTTTTATAATTGTTGGCATTTAATGTGATTTTCACAATAGCCCTGCAAGCTTCTGAGCTTGCATATATAAATATGATCTTTCAAAATTTCCTCAGCATAAACATCACAGAAATACTCACCTCTCCCTTTAAGGTTGATTCATGCCATCTCTGGGTTAAGCCCCTGTACTGCCACTACCCTCTCTACTGTGTCAGTTGCTCTGTCATTTGCTGCTGTAATATACTCACTAAGCCACTTACATTCTCCCAACTCTTCATTAACTCTAATTTCCATTCTCCCTACCCCTTTCAATTGTCTTTATTTCCCCTTCCCTAGCTTTTCTTAGAACTGGCATCTAAAAGTAATTAGCACAGATATAACTTCACTAAAGTGCAGGCTACTGAACTGTCCCACATCCAGGTCTTCGAAAAATTCTTGTCAAAATTTATCCCAGGAAGATATACAAATGGCCACCAAGCACATGAAAAGATGTTTGACATCATTAGTCATCAAAATGCAAACCAAACCACGATGTGCTACTGCTTCATATTACTAGGATGTTAGACCAAAAAGTCAGATAATAACAAGTGGTGGCTAGGAGGTAGAGAAATCAGAACTCTTGTACATGGCTGATTGGAATGCAATATACTGCAGCCACTTTGAAAAACAGTCTTGCAGTTCCTCAAACAATTAAAAATGGAGTTACCATATGACCCAGCAATTCCACCAGTAGGTATCTAGCCAAGATAACTAAAAACATATGGCCACAAAAAACTTGTACACAAATGTTCATGGCAGCATTACTTATAATAGCCAAAAGGTGGAAACAACCCGAATATCCATCAAATGATGAATGAATAAACAAAATATGCTATATCAAACAATGAAATGTTATTCAACCTTAAAAATAAATGAAATGCTGATAGATGGCACAACATGGATGAACATTGAAAACGTTATGCAAGTAAAAGAAGCCACTCATAAAAGGCCACATATGACATGATTCTATTTATATGAAATGTCCAGAATAGGCTAATCTAGAGAGAGAGAAAGGAGTATTGGTCCCGAGAATATAGGGAGATAGGAGGAGGATGGAGCAAAAGGGTATGGGGTTTCTTTTTGAGGTGACAAAAATGTTCTAAAGTCAATTATGCTAATAGTTTCACTTAGCAGTAACCATACTAAAATTCATTGAATTGTGCACTTCAAATGAATGAATTGTGTGGTATATGAATTATATCGCAATAATGCTGTTCTTAAAAACTTTTTGTCAATGATTCCTGGACAAGTGTTTTTCATTTGTCTTTTGGCTATCCCAACATTCTATGTTTCAAATTCTGACTCATCAAGGACTTAAATGCCATGCTCACCAGAGTCTGCCTGTGTTAACTAAACCTTTAAAATCTCAAGACTGCTATCAAATCCTCTTGGCATCAGTCTATTCAGAAGGATGAGGACAGGAATAACAGTTTGCCAGCAGGACAGCATCAGCTGTTCCTTTTTGGTGGTATTCTTGCAGGAGTTCAAGCAGAAGTACAGTTCAGGTAGATAAGGAATACACCTGATTTAGAAACCTTACTTTCCACCAGAGCCAATCCCCACCTCATAGCTCCAGAGCTAGTTCCATAGTGGAATGTTTCAGTTACAAAGCCCACTGCACTCAGGGAGCTATATCTTCCTTCAAGTATGTATAGTTCTCCTTGTTTAGATGTAATTTGCCAAGTAGAGGTTACACTTACCATAAGTATGTTGCCTAGGAATGTAGTTGACATGACTACCTTTATCTGTTTCCCAGGGAAAGGGCGAGAAAGTTAATTAAAGGTCAAATGCTCACATTTAGGAGGAAAAGCTTTTGTTAACCCTTCACTGATATAACAACTTAACATACCATAAATCCTTTTAATTATCCAATCCTTGGTTAAAAATTCCCTTGCTTTCAAAATTCAGAGAAAAATAAATTTTGCCCTAAAATACAGTTTTACGCTATTTCAGGAGCTTAATCAAACCACTAAGGACTCATTCACATTTCTATTTGTTAAAAAATTGATTTATACAGCACAGGTACAATGTTAAGCACTGAGGATACAGTGATGAACAAGACAAAAAAGAGTCCTTCTCACAAGGTCCTAAAATTTATCAGAAGATATGATAGTCGATAGCAACATGGTTTTTAAAATCTTTTGATAGAAGAAATGCCAGGTGATAACAATCATTGAAGGGAATGAACATGCACTTGTAGTATAAGGAATATGCATTATTCATATTTAAGAAATAAGTTAAAAATATGACAATACTCAATTGTTCACATACATTTAAAATATTTTATTTTTCTTAAGTATAACATTAATACTTACAAATAGAAAATTCATACATTTTTTCAAAATATTTACATACCTGGACTCTAAAATCATGTGACTTTATGATAATTCCTTTTTTGGGAGAACATTTACTTGTCATCCACATATTTCAATCTTATTGGTAACTCTGAGAGAAGGAACTGCGTTTCTCAACTCTGCCCCTTCTGTGGTCTCCCATCAAGCTACCATTATTGACTTTCTTCACATAACTAGAAAAAACTACTTTAAATTTCATATGGAACCAAGAAAGAGCCCATATAACCAAGACAATCCTAAGCAAAAAGAACAAAGCTGGAGGCATCACGCTACCTGACTTCAAGCTACACTACAAGGCTACAGTAACCAAAACTGCATGGAAATTCTACCTCAATTATCTTTTCTTTCATTAATACCACCCACCTTCCCAAGGTTTCTCCTTTTCAGTTAAGAAAATTTCCATTCCAATTAAGAAAATGTATTTACCATAATCTATTAATAATTTACTTAAACTAACCCCCCTTGTGCATGTCATACTTCACAAATAGAATGCTTTTTGTTTGTTTTCCCTCATCTTCTATTCTCTCTAATTAACATTGTCTCTTCTGTCTGATCTTACGTTGCTAAAAGGAAATAGGAATGCCTGATATATTAAGACCTCATTTCTCATCTGAAAATAACTTTTGTTTCAACCCTTAGTGTTGACAATCTTTCTACATGTAGAAGTAAAATTTTAATCCTTAATAATTGCCTCTCATGCATTTATGCCTCATTTTTCAGTTAATTAAATATTTAACAGAGGTTGGAAAAGGCAAAGAAACTTGAAGTGTTTTGAATCACTGCCAAGTACAAATCAATCATAAATCAAAGGAAAGGCCCTTTGAAATTACAACACTAGTCAACATGTAAATATTTGCCTTCAATTTTTCAGAGATCGTAAGTAAAACAAGGTATGCTGATACAAAATGATCCATACTGACTAAACTCACAGGACCTACTGGGCTGTTGGATAAAGGCTGAAACAGTTTACAACTATCAAATTTGGCTACACTTTATATTAACCACAAATGACAGCACAGGTTAAAGAATATAAAGTGTAATCACCGTCAGCCTAGAATACTTGCTTTTTATATAGCAATGCTTAATATTCATCTGTCGGATGTCTTCCCTAACTTCTCAAATTAGGAATGGATTCAGCAGTCAACAAAGCCTTATGACTTTAATGGTTAACAATAAAAAACAAAAACCACTACAAGATTGGTTAGTGAGAGCTAAGAAAAAGAGATATCTGACCAAATGGCCATCAAAGCCAAAGCACAACAACAACAACAAAAACTTTATGCATAGGAAAATGATAAAAACAATAAGACAAAAAAGCATGTTGACTGAAAAAAGAAGTGAAAGGTTAAACAGAGACTAGAGATAGAAAGAAAATGGCAGAGAGCTACAAGACAATTGATTAAAATCAAGAAATGATGACAGAGAATGGGCAAGACCAGAATAAAGGAGAAAAATTAAGTACTAATCAGAATAGTGAATTTCTGAGGGGGAATATATCATCATAAACACTATATCAGCTATTTGAGGCCTCTTTCTTATTCTATTTCTTATAATAAAGGTGGTTATTATAACAGGCATGAGTCACTCACACATAGTGAAACTGTTCACTGTGCTCTATTTACAGGAGGGAGTACGTAGTACAATTTGAAATAGTTTCTTTCAAAAAACATCTATCTAATTTATTTATTATTGTATATATTTAAAGTATACAAACATGTACATGATGTTTTGGTATGCATGTACATGCACATGACATACATATACATGTAAAATGATAACTACCATTGAGCATATTAACATATCCATCACCTCACACAGTTGCTTCTTTTTAGTACTAAAAGCACCTATGTATAAAAAATGGAATATTATTCAGCCTTTAAAAAGAAGATATGTTTAACTATGACAGCATAGATAAACCTGGAGGACATTACAGTAAATGAAATAAGCCAGACACAGAAAGAAAAATACTACATGAAACCACATACATGCAGAATCCAAATTTTTTTTAAAAACTTTTCATTTAAAATTTTTGTTTTATGAATAAAGGGACAAATTCGCTTTAAGAATTAGCTGAACAAAAAAGCTGTCTCCTTCAAAGTACTTTATTCCTTAGTAATTCCGTTAGGTGAAATAATGTTATAAAAAAGAGAATAACATCATTATAGGTTTAGCTCCCAGCACAGGAAGTCTGTGTATGCTCTTTGCTAAGTGCCAACCTCACAATTCCACTTCCCTAGTAGACAATACACTTCCTAGGACTCTCCCCAACAGCAGCACCAAGTAGCAACTTTGGTCTCCACAGATGGTGTGGAAACATAAAGGAGTAACATGAACAAGGAAGAGACATAGTTCTTTATTGTATTTAACTTTAAATTTATATACATAAAAGAATCCCAATATTTGAAGAAACCTTTAAAAGAATCATAGTTCCTTGCCAAGCTCTTTGATTTGTGTACATATTATGTAATCCATGTATGCTAACTTTTAGAGATAAATGTATATTCTACAATGAGATTTATTAGGAACTTAAATACCATTTTACTATTTGTGGCTTACCAACCTTCCCTCCTCTGCAATCAAAACCAAAGAATGTGATGCTGGCAGTATCTTAAGTGTTCTTACCATGAAAGAAGGAAAGAGAGAAAGAGAGAAAAAGAAGGAAAGATGAAAGAAGGAAGGAAGGAAGGAAGCAAGGGAGGGAGGAGGGAAGGAAGGGAGGGAGGGAGGGTGGAAGGGAAGGAAGGAAGGAAGGAAGGAAGGAAGGAAAGAAGAAAGAGAGAAAGAAAGAGAAAGAAAGAAAGAAAGAAAGAAAGAAAGAAAGAAAGAAAGAAAGAAAGAAAGAAAAAAAAGAAAAGAAAAGAAGAAGGAGGGAGGGAGAGGAGAGAGAGAAAGAGAAGAGGGAGAGAGAAAGAGAGAGAAGGAGAGAAAGAGGAAAGAAAGAAAGAGAGAGAAGGAAAGAAAGAGAGGAAATTGTGATGTAATGTGAAGTGATAGAAACATTCATTATGTTGAATTTGGAGACTATTTCAAAATGTGTATCTATATATATGTCAAAACATCAAATTATGCACCTTAATTGTACACATTTTTTATTTGTCAATTATGGCTCAATAAAGATAGAAAGGGAGTAGAGAGAGTCTGTAGATTGCCATACATGTTCTGTGCAAAAGAACTATGTAACCCGAAGGAAGTTATACAAAAGAAACAGTAAACATACTATATATATATGAAGTGTATATTCGGTAGATATTTTCTCACTAATTTAATCCAATCTACATTTGGAATTTTACAAATTTCCAACCTACAATGATCACTTTCTTCTGTTAAGATACAGGATACATACACTTTAATAATATTAACAAAACAAAATAATGCTCAACGTTTAGAAAGCATACTGTATGCCATGTTGCTTTCAGTAATTATTTGACTGGTGTCGTATCTGCATCTGGATCACAATAAGCCATATCACAGCAAAGTCTATCTTTTGAAATTATGTGGGAGGGAGAGGAGAAGACAGGGAGGGAGAGAGAGCAAGAAGAAGAAAATCAAATTTGGATAAATCTTGAAGCTCAGATACTGAAGAAATGGAGCCATGTCTCATTGTTCTTTGTATCTCCTACAACAGCTAGCACAGGGCTTAACGTCACTGAGTGATAACTCAGAAAATGTGCTCAATAAATCATTGAATGAAAAATTCCTAATATGAACTCATCTGTGATAATTTTGTTACAGTATTTATCTACAAAGTAGAATGCCTTTTGTTAAATTCTATATTATTCATATATTAACAATTAGACTCACTTCTGTATCAATTAATTTTCATTTCTTATGACTATCTGATTGTAATACCATGAGAGAGAGAAGTAGCAGGTTGGTTTTTGTTTTTTTCTCCCTGCATCCTTTCTGCCCAGAAGCGCTAAACATTGAGTGGTCACTCAAAAGTCACTGACTTTGGTGAATATTAGTTAGGTATATTTTACATTTTGTGGTTATCATTATTTGGGTCATCAGCACCCTTGATGGCTACTGATATTTATTAGCATGTTCAGGTAAACGCAAAGATTGAAATCTACCAGTAATCTTTCTAAACACAGATCTGATTATCTCTATTCCTTTGCCTACAGATAATATTAAAACCCTTAACTAATTAGGAGTAGGATCCTACCATTATTCATCTCTATAAGGTCACAGCCTAGCACATACCCTGCCTTCTAGAAAGTACTCAATAAATATTTGTTGAATAAATTACTATAAAATGAATAAAATCTATGACAAAGCAATGCATCATTAACTGTAACTAGTGTAATGCCATGTCTATATCTAATTCTATTTATAGTTTAAGTATTAGAATCTTAAAGCCACTTGACAGGGTTTGAGTTTAGGCATTTCCAAAATCAATGATTATATAAGGATAAACAAAAGGTCCTTATATGTACAGAAGGAAAAATAGAAACCTGAGAGATAAGCGTTCCTAAATAATAATGGGCAAAGATAAATAAGAACTAATTTTTAAATAAACTTGAAAACATAAGAGATTTATACCTAAAAACTATAGAAATAATATTTAAAATAACCTATGTGTTCATTTGAAATCACAATAGATAAAATATTTTCTAATTTTTAAGTGTCAAGTTCACAGTCAGAATACATAATCTGAAGACTCTAAGCTGTTTCTGCAACTACGTTAAAACAGTTTAAATAGTAAAATAGAGTCTAGATTAGTATTCAATAAAATAATTTAAAAATATGCATCAGGATTGTCTGTATATAATAGAATTTTAGAAATTAGCGTAAATCATCCTGAGTTCTAGATAACTAAAGACATTTTAAATGTCTTTATGTGGAAACATTTTATAAACACACTACAAGTAAATCATTTTAGAAAGCCATACCTGCAAAAGAGTTGTTCTGTGGAGCTTTAGTGCCCCTTTCTGGTGAACTTTAGCAAAGCATCCTGAACAATAATCTTCTCCACATTCAAGGCATACCTAAAAAGATATTTTTTAAAAAATTATACAATCTTATAAAATAGTATGATTTTTAGAAAGTGTTTGCATAAAGATGTCTTGTTTTTTAATATTTATTTCTCTAATTAAATACCTATATCATCAGAATTGAGAAGCCTGTCCCAGGCTTCTCAACTAGTCCCTTAACTGGGACTAGTTGTCCCAGTTAAGACTTAACTCTTTGAAGAAAACTAATTCGAAAACACTAATTATTCTCATATCAAAATAAATGTAGTTTTAATGTAGGTTTGGGGTGTATATTTTAGATGCATGGATGTATGCATAGTTTCTGAATAAACTATAAAACAACCAGTAGCCTCAGGTCAAACTTCTTGACCTGGTAAAAACTAAACAGCATTATCTCTGGGTGAAAACTCCTTCATTTGTATGAGTTATTTTATCTTTCTGTATGGATTTACATGACATAATTAGTTTCAAGTGATATGCATACTCTTTGCCCTCCAAAATCCCTATACACTTCCCTGGAAGGTACTCCTTTACTGGTGGTTCTCAAAGTATGGCTTTAAAATTTTTCTTACAAGCATCTCTAAAGGAAAAAAAAAAGTATAAGAAAAAAATACTAGATGGAACTACATTACCATGTCTGTAATGTTAATAACTGATAAAATGATTATGGGCAAGTTTATATTTAACTTCCAAATTATGATGTTTAAAAATGTAATTTTAAAATTGTTGGACAAGTTAAATAATGTAAAATACTCGTACCTATGATGGTGCCAAGCAAAACTGAAACTAAAGAGAAAAGGAAATGGAAATTGGATGTCAGGTTCAAGATGGATGATTAAATGCAGCTTGGGTGTGCCTTTCTATAGACAGGAGCCAAAGTATCAAGTAGATATTCACATTTCAAATAGATTGCCTGAGAGAGAACACTGGAATTCAGAAGAGAGATGATGGGAGACACCAAGGGTGAAGAAAAGAGAAACAGGGCTTCCTGCTTGGGGTCACTGGGACCTGGACCCAGGGAAGGAGTAAGTGAAGGATTTCCAATGCTCCTCATTCCTACCATGGACCTCTGCAATCCTAACTATGGAGAGATCTAGGAGCCCCATAGGCCTCCACACTGGCCTAGAG
The DNA here is from genome assembly GCF_000001405.40 of Homo sapiens. Lineage (NCBI taxonomy): Eukaryota > Metazoa > Chordata > Mammalia > Primates > Hominidae > Homo > Homo sapiens. The sequence goes on from NC_000003.12 coordinate 167,351,629, forward strand.
AGGTGCCTGGATATCACACAGAGGAATGGCTAGAATTCATGTGAAGTCCCATAGGCTTCCAAGTGCTGAGCAGCTGCACTAAGGTGCCATTCCTGGAGCCCATACCCCAAGGGTCTGAGTCCTGCCCAGAGACCACTGGTGCCCTTCCTGTCTGCAGGGCTGGGGAGCAAGAGGGGAAGCTGGGTGTTCTCATGCTCTGCCACTACTGATGCATGACCTGGTGCATTCAGATCAAGCACCCCATTCCTGTCAGTCTCTCCCAAAACTGTCTGCTGGCCTTTCCATTAGAGAATGTTCTGCCCTTCCTGGTTGCTGGCCCACAACATAGCCATCGCTGACCCACCAGTGTTCAGCTGGTGACCTGGGATCAGTCCACCCCTCCTTATCACAGCCAGCTAAGGGGGAGGTATATAGCATCAAATGCCTATATCAAAAAGATAGAAAGATCTCAAGGAACATAAAAAAAGAGAACAAACCAAACCCAAAGCTAGCAGAAAAAGAGAAATAACAAAGATCAGAGAAGAAATAAATAAAATTGAGCTAAAAAATGTAAAAAATCAACAAAATGAAAAATTGGGTCTTTGAAAAAATTAATGAAATTGATCGACCACTAGCTAGATTAAGAAAAATGAGAGAGGATTCAAATACGCACAATAAGATATGATAAAGGTGACATTAAAACTGATACCATAGAAATACAAAAGATCATCAGAGACTACTATGAGCATCTCCACACACAAACTAGAAAACATATAGAAAATGAATAAATTCCTGGAAACGCACAGCCTCTCAAGGTTGAAACAGGAAAAAATAGAAATCCAGAACAGACCAATATGAGTAGTGACGTTGTATCAGTAATAAAAATTTTCCCAACAACAAAAAAGCCAAGATCAGACAGATTCACAGCAAATTCTACCAGTCATAAAAAGAAAAATTGATACCAATACCACTGAAACTATTTCAAAAAAATCAAGGAGGAAATACTCCCTACTCATTCTAAGAAGCCAGGGTAACCCTGCTACCAAAGCCAGGCAAGGACACAATAAAACTTAAGAGTCCAATACCATTAATAAACATAGATACAAAAATTCTCAAAAAAAAAAAAAGCTAGCAAATTGAATCCAACAACACATCAAAAAGATACTACTCCATAATAAAGTGGGTTTTATCCAGGGGATGGGGGATGTTTCAACATATGCAAACCAATAAATGTGATTTACCACATAAATAGAATAAAAACAAAACTATATCATATCTCATTAGATGCAGAAAAAGCATTTGATAACATTCAGCATCACTCCATGATAAAAACCCTCAACGACCTAGGCACAGAAGAAACATTCACAAAATAATAAAAGTCATAAGACAACAAACCCCAGCCAACATCTTACTGAACTGGGAAGTGTCTAAAACGTTGCCCCTAACAACTAGAAAAAGACAAGGATGCCTACTTTTACCACTTCTATTCAACATAGTACTGGAATTCCTAGCCAGAACAATCAGGCAAAAGAAAGAAATAAAAGGCATCCAAATTGGAAAAGAGGAAGTCAAATTATTTATGTTTGCTAATGATGTTATCTTATGCCTAGAAAACCCTAATGGCTTCTCTGACACACTCATCAATTGATTGGATAAAGAAAATATTGTAAGATATATACCATGGAATACTACTCCACTATGAAAAAGAATGATTTTACATCTTTTACAGCAACATGAAAGGAACTAGATGGAGGCCATTATCCTAAGTGAAATAACTCATAAACAAGAAGTCAAATACTGCATGTATTACTTGTAAGTGGGAGAGCTAAACAATGGGTGTTAACTAAACACATGGACATACAGAGTAGAAAAATAGACACTGGACACTCCATACATTGGAAGGGTGGGAAAGGGGTAAAGACTGAAAAATTACATAGTGGCTATGATGTTCCCATTCAGATGATGGGTACTAAAAGCCCAGACTTCATCACTACACAATATATCCAGATAACACAACTTCACTTGTACCAACTAAATCTATAAAAATAAAAATAATAATAATAAATTATAACAGAGCAGTGATATTATATGTTTTATCTCATTTAATCCTCACAACAACTCTATAAATTTACAATCACCCTTGTATCTCCATAATGAAGAAGAGATAACAAAAGAACATAATGATGAAGAATTTGTCCAGAGTCATACAAGCTAATAGTGGTGGGGACAGGAATTCAATCCTACCATGTGGCTCAAAGCTTAAACCCTTAACCACAACAAACATTACTAATCTTTAAATTAATCATTTACAATAAACTAAAATAGTGATCAGTTACAGACACTCTTCAACTTACAATGTGGCTACTGCCCAATAAACCCATCATAAATTGAAAACATTGTAAGTTGAAAATATATTTAGTACAAATAACCTACTAAGCATCATAGCTTAGCCTAGCTAACCTTAAATGTGCTCAAAACACTTACATTAGCCTACATTTGAGCAAAATCATCTAACACAAACCTATTTTATAATAAATTGTTGAATATCTTGTGTTTTTTTTAACCTTCATGATCACATGGCTGACTATGAGCTTCCTAGCATCGTATTTTACCACATATCACTAGCCTGGGAAAATATCAGAATTCGAACTTTGAAGTATGGTTTCTACTGAATACATACTGTTTTTACACATCATAAAGTCAAAAAATTGTAAGTGAAAAATGGTAAGTCAGGGACCATTTATATCGAAAAACCTTGATAAAATCCACAATAAAATAAAATTCAGTATTTAAAAAGAATGCATGGTCTGGTATGTATCAAAATCCAAATGTATGTTTTTCAAGTGTGATTAGCTAAAAGATGATGGAATTTTTACTTAATCTGAAGAAAAAAAAACACTATCCCTAGCATAGAAACTAGTCCCCTCTTTCCATTCTTGTTTCATGAGCTTCATTCTTCTAGAGAAATGATAAAAACATTATCCTAAATCCGTAATTTTAAGTGTAAAATAAACTTTAAAACTATAATTTTATATAAATACATGGTTATATCATTATATTAATATGGATTTCAAAATATATTCTGCATAATTTTTATTTAATATAACTTGCTAATTTTAAGTGAATTTTTCCTAAACATTTGGCACTGTTTTTACACTATAATGCAGAAAACTGAAAATGAGTTTCAGCATATAATTCTAAGCCAAGTGTCTGTTAACAACATACTTTTAGTAAAAGTAGCCAAACGAATATTTGTAGACTGGAAGATCAATGCTGGACTTGCAGAGTAAGCTTATATATTTTGTTATACAAGGATATTTGGATTAAAATTGAGTTAAAATGACCTCCAATTGGAAAATCTTTTTAGGCAGTTTGTACAACTGGCAGAAACATGCTAAAAATGTAAATAAGGACTCCTTCCCACCACAGATGCTTCCTCAATGATGGAATATCCAACTGCAGTTTTAACAAATATCTTGTTAATTTGATGAATGCCAGATCAGTTGTGCTAAGCTTCAGAATCCATTTGAGTTTAATTAAATTATTCACATTTGCCAAATTAATATATAAGAAAAGTGGAACTTTTGGGCTTCGTCTTTGCCATCAATATATGTAAATGGATAGGTCATTTAAAAATTTGCCAACAACAAAACACACTGTTTATTGTCTTCCGTCTATGTGCTGGACACAATGCTAAATATTTTACATGTATTAACTCATTACGTGTGATAACTTTGAGGTACAGATTACTGTTATCCGTAGTAACCTATTTCACAAATGAGGAAACAGAGATAAAGAGGGATTAAGTCATTTGCTGAAGGTCACATAGCTAATAACAGGTAAAGTTGAGTTTCAAACTCCCAAAACACAAGCCCTTAACTCCTATCTCCCATACACAATTTTCCCTGGTGAAGGCCAAGGATATACATATATCTATATCTATATACATAGATATATATATCCTTTATATATATATTCATATATACACATATGTGGCTTTCAAATATATATATTCACTCATTATCCAGTCAGCATAACCATATGCAATGACAGATGCTAAGAACACAAGATAACATCAGAGTTTAACAATACCATGGTCTACTTCACTAAATCTGCCTAATTTGAATTTTTAAATAGCTTTTTATTATGTTTTGACAACTAACATGGGATATTCTTTTTATTCAAATAAAATAACATTCTTTCTCAAAATCATTTTAAAGAATGTTTAAATTCTTTATTCTAAATTCTGGCTTGTCTACACAGTGTTTTTCAGGTAAATCAGCTGTTTAATCACTGCATACAATGTCACTCTCCTGTGCTTTCCAGCCAAGGCACCTGCTGCTTATCTTGTCTGGGACATCCTTCTTCTTACTTTTCCTTCTTTCTTGAAAAACAGATCCTTTATTTTCGGGTCAAGCCCTATCTACTTGTGTCATACTGTTCAAGTTCCATGGCTCAAGTGCTTACCACAGAGTAGGAGTCACAAAAAATATTGACTCATAGCTCCTGTATAATTCGTTTTCAGATCATTAGAAGCAGATCCCAACAATTTAATTCAACCTGTAAGTGCCTTTTAGCTTTCACACTTTTAACTTAGGAAATATTAGCATTTGTTTATAATTTTTACAAATTTCTGGACAGCAATTTTTTTAAGATTCCTTAAATTACTGCCAAACATCATATCAAATAAGAAAATAATATAATGTAATAAGAAGAGTATTCTACTACCAAGAGCGGGGGTTTTACATTTAATATTGTTATTAGCTCTTTATTAGATGTGCAGCATTCGAACTCAGAGTCCAGTTAAAATTGCCATTAAATAAACCTAACAATATAGATTTAAGTCAGAAATGATTATGGCTAAGTTCTCTAAAACTGTAACATAATATACAAATATTAGTATACATAACCATTAAATTCTTTGAAGAGGAAACTGCTTTTTACCTATGTGTTATATTTAAAATTGCAAATGATGCTGCAGTACCTTCAATGATAACTGAAAGGAAAATATGTGTAAATTAAGAGAATGTCTATATTATGAAATAGTTTCAAAGAAATAATTCATTCATTAAATATTTGTTGAGTGCCTACCACACTGCAGGCATAATTCTAGGTGGTAGGCACACAGCAGTGAACAAAACTACACTCCTACCCTCATGAAGTTTACATTGCAGATAAGTAGAAAATAAATAAACATATAATCAATGATGATCAATATTACATAGACAAATGAACTAGCTTCACAAAACTGGAGAGTGCAACTCAGCTTTTACTATTTTACAAAGGGCTATCAATGTAAGTAACATTTGAGTTGATATTTACTGATATGAGGAAACTGTGAGGGAAGACTATTTATTGGAAAAAGATTAAGGGCTTAATTTTGAACACATTAAAATAGTGATGCCTATTAGACATCCAATAAAGGTGTTGAGTAGGTAGATTGAGCCAAAACTTCAGGGGAGAGGTATAAGGTGGATGTGTAAATTAGGGGATGATCAATATAGATAGGGTCTTTAAAGCCAACAGAGGGGTTGAGATTGCTAAAGAGTAAGTATAGATGGACAAGATTAGAGCCCTGTGGCATTCCAACATTAAGAGGTCAATACAGAAAACCAGCAAAGAACAGAGAAGAAACAGATATCAATGTCAAATGAAATCAAGAAATCATAGTGTCCCAGAGGAAGCCAGCTGAATGAAGAAAGTCATAGATAAGGGGAGGGATACTGTACTATAAAATATTCCTAATACATTAAGAACTGAGAATTGACCATTGTATATGAGAATGTGGAAGTCACTGGTTGACCTTGACAGAAACAGTTCCTGGATAGTAGTGGAGACCCAAGACTGAATGGAGAGAATTCAAGAGAGAATGGGAATCCAGTGATTCCAGTTCTAGGTATACACCCAAAAGAACTGAAAGCAGGGTCTTAAAGAGGTATTTGTACACTCATGTTCATAGCAGCATTACTCACAATAGCCAAAAGGGGGAAGCAACCCAAGTGTCCACTAATGGATGAATAGTTAAACAAAATATGGCACATACATACAAAGGAATATTATTCAGCCTTAAAAAATAAAGAAATTCTATAAATCATGCTGCTATAAAGACACATGCACACGTATGTTTATTGCGGCACTATTCACAATAGCAAAGACTTGGAACCAACCCAAATGTCCAACAATGATAGACTGGATTAAGAAAATGTGGCACATATACACCATGGAATACTATGCAGCCATAAAAAATGATGAGTTCATGTCCTTTGTAGGGACATGGATGAAACTGGAAATCATCATTCTCAGTAAACTATTGCAAGAACAAAAAACCAAACACCGCATATTCTCACTCATAGGTGGGAATTGAACAATGAATACACATGGACACAAGAAGGGGAACATCACACTCTGGGGACTGTTGTTGAGAGGGGAGGGATAGCTTTAGGAGATATACCTAATGCTAAATGACGAGTTAATGGGTGCAGCACACCAGCATGGCACATGTATACATATGTAACTAACCTGCACATTGTGCACATGTACCCTAAAACTTAAAGTATAATAATAATAAAATAAAATAAAGTAAAATAAAAAAATAATAAAAAAAGAAATCCTATCATTCCACAATATGAATAAGCCTTGAGGATACTATGCTAAGCGAAATAAGCCAGTAACTAAAAGGCAAATAGTGTATGATTTTACTTATATGAGGTAGAGTAGTCAAATTCTCAGAGACGGAAAGTAAAATACTATTTACTAGGGGATGGGGGGAATGGGGATGGGGAAGTGATTGTTTAATGGATACAGAGTTTCAGTTTTGCAAGATGAAAACAGTTCTGTGAATGAAGCATAGCAATGTTAATATACTTAATGCTACTAAACTGTATACTTAAAATAGCTAAGTTGACACATTTTATGTTATATGTATTTCACTATAATTTTTTAAATGTTCATGAAATTGGTACCAATGAGAAGTTAAAGAGCAGTCAGAAGTCATAATTTTCTGTAATTTTTTCATTTCACATTATAGCTTTTAAGAGAGGATATATAGTCTAGGCGTGGTGGCTCACACCTGTAATCCCAGCACTTTGGGAGGCAGAGGCAGGCGGATCATGAGGTCAGGAGATCGAGACCATCCTGGCTAACATGGTGAAACCCCATTTCTACTAAAAATACAAAAAATTAGCTGGGCGTGGTGACGCGTGCCTATAATCCCAGCTACTTGGGAGGCTGAGGCAGGAGAATTGCTTGAACTCTGGAGGCGGAGGTTGCAGTGAGCCCAGATTGCGCCACTGCACTCCAGCCTGGGCAACAGAGCAAGACTCCATCTCAAAAAAAAAAAAAAAAAAAAAAAAAAAGAGAGAGAATATGTCACTTGTGAGAAAAGAAAAAAAAGACATACACAAATGTCCATAGCAGCCTTAAACATAATAGCAAAAATATTGAAACAACCCAAATGTCATTCAATGTATGAATGGATAAACAAATTGTGTTATAACTGTACAATGGAATACTACTCCATAATACAAATGAACACATTACCAATAAATTTAACATGGATGAATCATGTGGAGCAAAAGAAGCCAAAAGTATATACTATATTATTCCATTTACATAAAGTTCAAGAACAGATATCACTAAATCTATAGTGTTAAAAATCAGGACAGTAGTTGCCTTGGTGTTGGGGACTGATTGGAAAAGGCACATGAGAACTTTCCAGGGTAAAGGTAATCTTCTAGGTCTTGATAGAGGTGGACACATTAATCAAAAGGCATCTGACTGTACATTTAAGTCCATCCATCTCATAGTAAATTATGCCTCAATATTAAAAAAATAGACAATGGGAGGATAGAATATGATGACAGCAAGTATAGACAACTCTTCAGAAGAGTTTTACAATAATGGGGTGCAGGCTTGGAGGTCAAAAAGAATTGTTGTTGTAGTTTTGGTTTGGTTTTGGTTTTGGATGGGATATACTGCAACATGTTTGTGTGCTAATAGGTATGACTCAAAGGAGCGGAGACAAGGTCTAAGCTGATGTCTTTAAACAAGAATGAGAAGATGAGATTCAGAGAATAAGTACAGGTATTGACTGTCCCCAGCAGCATGCATGCTCAACCCACAGTAACAGTAATGAAGAAAAAGTATATGGCTACCAAGCAAGTTAAGTTGGGAGAGGTGTATGAGGCCATGTGAAAGTTCTATTCTAACTGCTTAATATACCTACTATACAGTATATGTATATATACTATATAACGTACATACCAGTAGAGCAGCTTTGTTCTCACACTGTCCACATACTTTCCCATTTATCTTGGGTTTTTCACATTCTGAAGAATTTGCCATTTTATAATTAACTGTTGGTTTCACTGGCTCTGCAAGATAAAAAATAATATTACTCCAATCATTTAAAAATATGTTAAATTTTCCAATTGATAAATTAATGAAACTATGCATACTTCCCATCTCTGTATCAAACTGAAGCCCACATAGAACAAATTCTAAACATTTATAATTATATATATTCATAATAAATATATGTATATAAATATATATTATATATATTTCTGAATTTTTTCTACCAAACTATATTAATCATGCAACATTTGTGTTTACTATCCTCCAGAAAAACATCTTATTTCCTTGGGAATTATTATAAATTCAAATTATATTTTTGGTTTTGCTATTATTAAATAATTTATTAAAATATAAAGCAATTTTTCTATTTTTAAAAATTTTCTAGAGTGAAATTTTAATTTATAATTTACACTGCTAAATTATCTTCCTTATTAAAACATTACATCAATAAAATTTAAGGAACAGTGCTGTAAAAGTCCTCACTTTTGAAAAATACTATTACTATAATCATGTACTAAGTTTACATTTTTTGACACAAAAGCCCCCCTAACCACCCGAATAAAATTTATGTTGAAAATCAATGTGTCATGATTTGGGGGTTTAGAATCTTTATACTGCCCGGACAATTCTAAAACTTTAACTTTATTTGTAATTACAATGTAAAAGAAAGGGATGTCTTTAGCATTTATTAACATGGTGATAAATTATTTACCTTGAATCTGTTCCTTCAGCAATTTTAATTTCACTTTTCCAGCAGAAAACTGTATTAATAAAATAGATACTATTTGTCAGGTATATATTATCTTATTCAACGAAAGTTGCCAACAAAAATATTAGAAAGCTGTAGCTTTGGTGCTTTTCGAACAAAAATTTATTTTTAAAGAATAATATAAAATTAATAGGAGATCATCATTAAAGCATATATGTACCTTTTAATTAATCTAATAGAAATTCATAAAAAAGAAAATAAATTTTAAAAATATATCTAAACCAGTTTTTGAAAACATAATTTGGCTTTTAAACAAAAACCATTATATCTCATTATGAAATTATTTGCTAGTATTCAAATATTGTAAAGGTTTAATACATCTTTTCTATTTCTGCTCTTTCTGAGACACACAGTCTAATATTTGTGTAAGCTGAATCTAAACTGAATTGTGACTAAGCTATTCTGCTTACACTACTATAGAAACCCATATTATTTTATTTGCCCAATTTAGAGAACTGCATGTGTAAGCATCACAGACTTATCCTTCAAAAGTATTATTTGTGATCACTGACTTTCCTAAATATTAGCCAAAAAAAATGAATAAATAAGATTCACTGCTAGATATTTCAAATAAATCATCACTTAAAATTTTGGGATTTTAATATTTTAGGAAGTAAAATACTCTTGCCAATTGAACATGCTTGCCTTGATCTTATTAAAACCAACATTTAAAGTACACAAACGAGAATGAAGGATGGTGTGCATTTATATAGATACTGTCAATTCAGGCCTAGTTTTCAATTTGCAATTTGCATGCTCAATTGCTCAATTTGTACATGAGAATCTGAGAACAATGACTGCCTCTATATCTATGGCTGTAGCAACTGCAGTCATCTGAAAATGTAGGCCTAATTATTCTCAGTGAATCTAGTGGTTTTGCTTCAAAGGGGCAGTTATTTTTCACATTCTTCAAAGTAACTGCTCAGATGCTATGTACTAAACACAGCAGAAAAGAAAATAAGATTGAAATCATCAATTTTTCTATGAACCACACTTTTATTTTTAAATTGCTAATGTTATACAAGTTACAGATAATCTAATCTCATTTTTCATAACCAAATTATCCAGTATGACTACCTTAATGATACATCTGAATTGAAACATGATCAGTGTGGTTGTAGGCTACCCTGGATGGAATGGATAGATATGCCCAAGCAAAATGAACCCATTATTAGGGAAATTGTATAATTTGTTTTTATTATTATGAATAATATTGTTCTGCTCTATGAATACAGCCATATTTATTTCAAGTGATTCAAACTGCATAAAAATATTTCAGTGAACAAACCTCTAGCTGCTATTTTTAGACAAATAGAATTTCCTCATAGGTCTGATTTTTATCTGTTAGGGAAAGGGTTGGAGGTAGGGTTGAACCAAGGATACACATGCTTACACAAACACACATATACACATATATGCGCATGTACATATACATATATAATACATGCATATGTATATATACATATAGATAGAAAGATGGATATCTGCATATGTTTGTATATACAAATGTCAGGAACTTAATATACTAAAGCCTATGCCTTATTAACATGCTGACTCCTCCACCAGTAGGTATTGAAGGGGTGCTATCAGGGGCCAGGAAAGCTTAGTGGATTTACCACACAGACATATTATCTATGCCACTGGGGTCAGAATATGCTGTCATCATCAGCCTCCCTGGCATTCACAAATACCTCCGAACTCCCACCAATGCCTTCATCTGCCACACTGAGCCCAAACTTCTCCTACAGTCATCTTTCAGACGTTCTCACTGTCAACCCAGTTAGCTACTGAAACTTCGCAATTCTGTACTAATTGTCCTTCCTTCCAAGCCCCCACTGCCATTCCGTGGATCTTCTATTAAATAGTCATTTATGTATCTTATGCTTTAAACCTTTCCCAAAAATGTTTCATCAAAAGTTTACATCAACTGAAAGCCACCTTTGCTTAGACACAATCTTCACCAAAGCACTTCCCACAGGACCTAGCCCCTTTCCACTTCCTTTCACATACCAGGAAAGAGAAAATTTTTCTATTTGCTCTTCAGTGCTGTTTCCAGAATATTATTGTGCTATCATGATTCAGCAAAGGTGCCTCTACTATAGGTCCCCACCATCCACTTATTGCTTGTGTCAATATCTAGGGTCTCTTCCACCTGAACTTCAGCAACCTGCTCGGTATTTCTCTCCATCACATTTCTGCTTGACAGTCTTAGAGACTTCAATGCACATGTTCACCTGACATCCTGGTTTGAAGACCCTCCAACATGCTGGCTACTGTGAACATCTAAATGCCTCTTCAGCCACCTCACCATTATAACCAAATCTGGCATGTAAGCAGCATTCTGAATAGCCACACCTTCAAAATCTCAGACTCTAAAGTTTTTCAGTGCCAACCTCAATCACCTTATCTCTTCCTTCTGATGCCTCCAATATCTATGTACCACTGTGATAAAAATAATACTATAGAGCCTCCTACAAATCCATGCTGATCAGCCTCAATGGGCTATATGGCTCTTTGGCAATCCATTTACTCATTTGCTGCTAATCCCCAACCACAATTCCCACAGTGGCTACTCCAAACCTCTTCATTCCCAAGAACTCAAATTCATCCCATTTCCCTTAATTCACCTGAGCAGACGATATTGTCTTCAACTGTCCTAAGAAAGTTGAGGTCTTCCCATTAAAATCTTTCAGTGTCCCACCTCACCACTTGTCAAAAACAATCTCTAAAATTTATTTTCATTGCCACCTGTTTTTTCTTCCACCTTTCTTGTCTCACACACACACAAAAAATATGTCTTCCTTTCCTTGGTGAAGGCCTCTTTAATGGACTACCTCTTCAAAGACCACACACCCAGCAACTGGCACCTCTTTCATCTACATTTTGACTCTTTCCTCTACTAGGATGTCCATCTTTCATTCTACAAACTGGCCCACATCATCTTGACAATTCTAGAAAAGAATATAATAAAGTCTTTCCTTGATTCTATTAAACCCTTGAAAGGTCACCAACTGCTTTCATGCTGGCTGCAACAATAGTCTTTACTCATTGCTTCCCACCGTTTTCTTTTCAACCAATTGAAATCTACTCTCTTATTTAATATTGACACAATCATCAAATTTAGGTCTTTTAAATATTTTCATTATCCAGAAATAGACATTTTAATGTAATGTTTAGGTATCATTACAAAGTGGTTTCACATATTTCAAGAGTTTTTGACATTGCTCAAAAGCTCTTTGAAGTGGTTAGTAGGTATTATTATGCAAGTTTACAAGTGTAGTAATAGAGGCTTGGAAAGGTTAAGTGAATGTTAATCTATATAATCTAATACAGAGTTTCTAGACCTCAGCATCACTGACATTTGGGGCCGAATAATTCTTTGTTGTGGGGATTGTCAAGTGCATTGTAGGATGTTTAGCAGCACCCCTGGCCCTTACTCACTATATATCTTTAGCAAAAAAAAAAAATACGCAAAAACAACAACAACAACAAAAATATACCTCTCAATGTTAACAACTGAAAATGTCTCCAGACTTTGTCAAATGTCTCCTGGGAAGCAAAATTGCCCCCTTCAGAAACACTAGTCTAAATAGATACTCAAAACTTTTTTCACTACACAATATATTGGACATTATTGACTTCATATTTTCCAAAAATGTTCTCCTTTACTTTCGTCCTTATAACATTGAACTACTTCGATTTTACTTCGCCATTCTTTTTCTTCTCAATCTCTCTTCACTAGAGAGCTGGCAAATTATCTTAGACAAGCCTGAGAGCTTACATGTCAAATCTTGGCCCTGACTTTTGACCTTGAGTGAGTTATTTAGTTTTTTTTTATATTAAGTTATTTCATCTGTGAAACTGGAATAATAATAACATCCTCTTAGGAGTGATATAAGCACTTAATGAGATAAGAAAGGAAAAGAAGCGAAACTGTTGACTGGTATTAAAACTTATTGAGCTTATTGAGTGAATATTAAAGTTCTCTTTGCCAATATAGTTTACACACTGGCTTTCTTTAAGCTTTATTCTTTACACCTCTCTATGTTTTACAAATCCTAGGGAGTACATTTACTCCCTTAACTTCAACTATCACTTGAAAATTCAAACAAAACTCTAAATGTATACCCCGTACTTTTCTAAGTCCTTTCTTTATGCTGTCTCTTAGTCAATCCAGCCTGTAATATCAATTATATGTTTGACTTCCTCCTCTCCTTTCTCACTGTTTTATGGTTCCATATTTTTCTTTATATATGTTTTCCTACCCTTTTAATTCAGCCTCCTTTCATCTGACCTCTAGATTATTTTAATAGTCTTACAAATAGCCTGTTTCTAGTGAGATAAGTTTTTTTTAAACGTTGGGGTCAAAACTTTTATAATTGATTTTTCCCTAAGATAGGGAATGACACCAGAGAATAAAACGCTTTCTCAAAGCCAAAAACTTTAGAAGCGCCAAGTAAGATCTTTGTAGATTCCAACTGACCCAATGAAAGTTTAATGATAGGTACGTAAAAAATAAAAACTGTGTAAGCTAATACTTACAAAGTCACGAATCTTGCACTAAAGAATCCAGAAGCAAAATTGTTTTCTTTATGTAAAGACACTTATCTGATTTTCATCTTAAATATAATATTATATTTTATAGCACACAGTAAAGGAGCAGCAATTCTATAGCTGGGAAACTGAAAAGTATTTTTTTCTTGAGTATCTTTACACATGGAATCAACAGTATATGAATAATAAATTATTATTGAAGCAGAATATAAAACATTAAACTAATGTGATATAAAAGTAGGAATAAAGTCTCTCATTTGTTATATTAAATAACAATAGCTTTCACCTTAGTTTAGAAGTATTTAGTTCTATTTTATATACTTTAAACCAGATCCACACTGAATGGAAAAATTCAGTTTGGGATGTGGGAAAATTCACTGCAAGGTAAAATTTTGAAATCAGTTTGTAGCTGAAAAACAAAAACATAATTGAATAATGAAAGTTGCATATTACCCTGCAAAATAAATCAACAAGTGAATAATATGCAAAGTTGTTAAAATAAGAAGAGTATATTCCTGAGTATAGAAGAAAATGCAAGACCTAAAAAAGAATATCTTCTTGCTTAGCAAAATGCATAAGAATCAAATAGTATCTTCTTACCTTAACAACATTTCCTTTATTTTGTGACATCATATATGATTGATTGACCAATTTGCCCACTTTTCCAGATTTCCAGTAATACTCGCTTGACCTTTAATATATATAAACAAGATAAAATGTAATCACTAAACACATTTCTCCCTTTAATGAAAAGAAATACAGTGTTCCTGTTTCAGAAAATGGAAATTCAGTTGTTAACATGCAGTAAACAAGCAAAACATGAAAAATAAATATCAATAATGTCACAATATCCTCAGTAATTTTAAAATGTAGCTTTATCATATTTATGACCTTTGTGGAGAAATGAATAAAATGAAATGTCCAAACACAAATGAAGAATTCTATTTCCTTGATATTCACAATGACTAAAGATAGCTTTATTGATTTGTAGGAAACTTTACAGGTCTTTATGAAATTTTAAAAGCTAAATGTCCACAAATGTAAAGAAGAAAAGCAAGCAAACCAATACCCCAAAATATTCAGTGGATCTAGTAAGTGATGAATTCCTTGTTAAAACCTCTAATGATCTCCCACATTGAAACATAACAGAGATTACAAAGAAGGCATACTTTAGCTGTACAGTTTTTAAAGCACTTGAGCTTTGTTTACTTGAGCATAACAAAATATTTTTGAAGTTATCAAGGCAGAGAGTCCAATTATCATTAAAAAATAACAATAAGACAAAAAGTTGCCCAACATCACACAGAATAAATAATTAAGATTGGAGCACTAGACTTCTATTTTCCTGGCTAGTGAGTGGCAGGTTCTCATTCTGGCTATGACATTTAATATCTGTGTGACCTCAGAAAACAATGTAACTATTCTGAAAACTCAGTCAAGCTTTAGAATGTTAAGAATCATCTAGAAAAGCTTCCACAGCTAAGAAAAACTCACTATCAGGGCTGATTCCAGCAACTCCGATTCTCAGATGAGTATCATGATCCATTTAGAAGTCCAAACTAAGTCCAAATCAGTGAAGGTAAAAGAATTGGCCACTGGGTCATTAAAAGCAGCAAGACACATAATAAACTTTGTCATCCTGGATGACATACAACATGAGATGCTCTGATTAAACCAATGCTCTATTAGAGGGGGTATGTATATAAGTTATGCATATTTTTCAAAGAAATGGACTCTAAAGATAAATACTACTGAAAGTATAATGAACACATTTGAATTGTCATTAAACGTTAAGAAGGTACTTCTAGGTATTTGATGGTCATCACTTTGAGGACTAAACAAAAGTTAATTTAATATACAAACAGTTTGGTGATATTTAGTACCAGCAAACGGACATGAAACATGCACTCTCATACACTGTAGGAAAAGATTATGAACTTTTGACACCTATTTGGAAGACAATTTCTCAATGTCTATCACAATGTAAAATGCAAATAACACATTGACCTAAAATTACAGAGGTAGGAATTTATCCCACAAATAGCTTTGCATATGTAAGCGAAAATACATGAAGAAGCATGTTCATGGCAGCATTTATAATCATAAGATACTAAAAACATAATAAAGATCTGAAAAATAAATGCTATTATATCCACACAAAAAATACTACGTAGCCACTAAGAAAATTAGGCTAATTTTCTTATCACATCAATGCATTCTGATGTGATAGGAGCATTAAGATATATTAAGTAAAATAGTAGGACATGAATTAATTCCCATATTTTTAGATGAACTCATTTGTAAAAAAAAAAAAGTAAACGATACAATATATGCAACAGATATACTCACTGAAAACAAAATACATTCACACACATGTATATACGTATACTTACACAAAGATAAGACATTTGTGGAGAAAATTTTTAGTCATTAAAATGGGTGCTAGAAAATGGGCTGGGAGTTAGCCTAGAGCTAAGAAGAGAGAATTTCCATCACATAATTATTAGTTCTGTTTGTTATCATTTATATTATTTTATAACAAAACAACAAATTCAGTATAATTAGTACAAATATATAAGCATAATATTAGAAAGTTCTCATTAATAAAATTTCAGCTAACCAGCATTTGCTAAATATATTTTAAATATACATAAGGGTTTGAGCAATTCTGATTATATATATGTATATATATATATATATATACATATATATATGTAATAGCATTTATTTTTCAGATCTTCATTATGTATATATATGTGAACTCTTGCTCCCAAAAGCTTTTGAATACATAAAAATGGCTCTAAACATAAACTGGTGTTTATTTGTTATTGATGGCAATTTTCTGAGAGCAAAAGGTAAAGTGTGCACTGCTGTCATAAACATTCCAGACCATAAATCAATGAGAAGCCAAAAGTTAAATAAAAAGGAAATAAGAAAGGATAAGACCCAATAATGTTCAGAAGAAACAAAAGTAATGGTAATTTTAAAAAGCAACATGTCTCATCTAAGTGGCACAAAAACAAAAAATAGAAGGCCTTTGCTATTGCTCGTTCATCAGGAAAAGTCAGAAATTATCCATCCATTAAATGTTTTTATTGGAATGACAACAGTATATAAAATAGTTCTTTATATAATTTAGTTGATTCATCTAAAATTCTCTAAGAGTTTCACTCACTCTCTATCTTCCTTTTCTTTGTTTCTTGTGGATCGGAATTCTTGCAGTTTCTTCTCCATCTCTTGGTTCTCAAACTCTAACTGTACTTTCTCCATTCGCAGTTCTTGAGCATTTCTGAAGACATAAGATTTAAATGGAGAAAGCAGAAAAACAAGCGAAGCCAAAATAATTTTATATAATCTTTTCCTGTTAAATTAGAATCATGAATAATAAATAAAATATTTTACCTATTTCTTTTGTACTTCTCCGAAATCTGGTTTTTAAAGTTAGCATTTGCCTTCCATCAAAATCCTGAAGCAAATTATCTCTTCAAATCTTAGACTTTTGTTTTAATTATTACATTGCTAGGGGTTCAAAATTATAATTAACTTCATATATAAGGCATGTTTTTATATATGAACAAATATCTATGACATACAAACAGAAAACGAAATAAAAATATTGTCCAATTTTCATATTGTTTTGCCTCCAATGTAGTCAAGTAGTTTGAAGCACAGTATTTAAAACAATAGACGAAATATACATTTTTGCTGAACTGGTCACCTCCAAAATTTTAAATCTCTACCTTTATGTCATATATGTATGATGAGGAGGAAAAGGTAGTACCTGTTTGAGACCTATTAAGAATAAAGCCCCTATTAACAGTTTTGGTACGGGAGCTTCCTGTACAAGAGATTTTGATAACATCTGAAACTCACTAAGTTTTTGACAAAAGACATTTTCTTCATTTTACGAAGTCTGGTTATCAGTATTAGCCACCGACTCTTTCTTTCATAGATCTAACCCAAACTAATTCTCTAGCTTTTACTATTGTAAGTCCAAATCTCTTCCTTCAATATTACATTAGTGTTTTACTACAATCAAGCAGTGTGGGCACCCACGCATGCTATGGCATGGAACAAAATCAAGGCATAATAAAGTTCATAAAGGAGAAATCTTTCTAGAGGTAGCAAGCAATTACCAAAAAGCAAGCGGGCCAAGGATATGTCCTAAGCGGACACAATCGAGGAAGATATACAGAAAGTGATAGGAAGGGCTGTCCAGAGGGTTCAGAGAAGCTGGCTAAGATACAGAAAGAGAGGCATTTATTTGCATTGTATCTACTCCACAATGAGTAATGCAGCTACTACCTCAAACAAACACTGCTAGGTGATAGGATGTGAAATACAATGGAGCTTCCAGTATTGAGAGGAATAGATGAGCATAAAGGTAATTGAAATATAGTGGAATAGTGCTGTCATTGGGGAAGTACAGGGGGCTACCTGGGCACAAAGAAACAGCACATACCCCAGCCCTGTGAATGCAGGAACAGTTCCTGGAGAAGGTGAAGTATGAGCTGAAACCTAAAGGATGAAAGGACTTAGCCAGTCAAAGGGAAGTGCTGAGTGCAGTGTTCCAGAAAGAAAGGAGTGTGGACATAGGTAGCAAAGAGCAATGGGTGGGTCAAGGAACTAGAAGTTCTCTGTGACCAGACATTAAGTGCAGAATAGGAAAAGTAGCAAAAAATAAAACTGCTGAAGTGGATAGGATCATGAAGAGCCTTGTAAGCCATGATGAGAAATTGGGATTTATATTGTATGAACAATGAGGATCATTAAAGGGTTTTAAGAGAATTGATCAGACTTACATTTAGAAAGATCACTCAGGCTGTATCAAAGGAAATCAATTAGAGGGTGCAAGGCTAGAAGCAAGACAACCAATTAGTAGACTATTCCAGTAATCCAAATAATAGAGAATTTGGGCTAGTCTGACTGAGCAGGGGCAATGGAGAGAAAAATGGAGCTTTTGAGAAATTTAAGAAGATATAATTAACAAGTTGGAAACTGACCAGAAGTAGGTGACTGATTAGAGAGGGAACAAGGAAGAAATCTAAAATAATCCCATGTTTCTTATTTGAGCTGTCAGGAGGACAATGGTGTCTTTTCCTGAAACAGACCATTCTGAAATGGGCCACAGGTACAGTTCAGGATGAGTAACAGTTTATCTCCATGCTTAAAGTCTTGAAAGCCTACCACACTTCACAAACTGCTTACAGGAGAAGAGTTAAAAAAACAAATATGATTGTGTCACTCATTTGCTTAGAAGACTTCTGACGTTTTTGAAGTCCCACTGTGGTAGAGGAAAAGGTTAAGGCTGTAGAAAAAGAGTGGCCTACTGACCAAGCGGTCAAGTTTATGCAAGGTTGGATTGTATGGATCTCACACAAAACAGAGGATTCCCCCTGGAGACAATGTTATACACGGAGCCATAAAGGGAAAGCAAGGCCACTTGAGGAAAGCTAAGGTTGATCCTTAGCTTTATTTATTTAATTTATTGTTTAAGAGATTTCTTTAAGATTTCCAAAATGATAAGTTCAGCAAAAATATGTATGTTGCCTATATAGAAAAAAAATTGTTATTTTAAATATTATGCATCAAACTACGTGATTAGAGGCAACACAGATGATATGAAAATTAGAAAATAATTTCTAATCAACAAAACAAATCCAAGGGCTAGAAATAAGATTGAAATGGTTTAGGGGCTGAGAAAGAGGTCAGGAGGACTGGAAGAACACCAGAATGTCAGACAATGTAAAGGCAATGTCCAAGGAGAACAGGCTTGGAACACGGAAAAAGTGAGAAAGAGAACTCTACGGTAATTACTGTGAGTGGGTATTCCTGTCCTGGTTTTTAATGGTTTGTGGATCAGGGAGACGTACAGGCCAGGGAATAGTGATTCCAACCTATTTCCAAACTCTTTACTATGACATACACATTAGTTATCATCTAGACCCTGCCTTTTTCTCCACCTTTCTTCTTAGACAATTGGATATGTCTGAGAAGTCCCCAAAATCATGTGGTCTCTGAGAAGTCCCCAAAATCATGTGGTCTCTGTGTCTTTGCATAAGTTTCACCCAATAACTACCCAACTAACTGCATCTCTCACTCAGAACTTGGGTACCTCCTCACTCCTGCTCTAGCAGTTTGAGCCATGTTCTCTCCTAGTCCCTTGCCTTTACACATCACACCATGCTTCATTCTATATTGTCAGTGTAACTGTACTCATTCATATTCTCTCTAAGCTTTCGGAGTGCCAGGACTATGACTTCCTGCTTTTGTAGCCATCATTCCCTAGCACAGTGTATAGAAAATGCACACTTAATTAATGTTTGTTGGCTAAATGTTTACAGGTATAGACACGTGGCCCTGAAATATGTCACTAAAATCAAATAACACATGTCCCTTTTTCTTTTTCTATTAACAAAATTGGTAGTCCTAGCAATTAGATAGCTCCCCTCCCCACCAAATACATGGTATACCTAAAAATGATAATGCCATATATTTTTATAACATTTCCAGTTTACACAATACTTTTATACCCCATATCTCAAAGTGAAGAGAGCATTAGAATAGCTTTGAAGACACCAAATAACCACAAAACTATTGATCTGGATCAAAAAACTCAGAAACTCCAATTAAAAATGATAGTCTGGGCTGGGTGCACTGGCTCACACTTGTAATCCCAGCACTTTGGGAGGTAGAGGTGAGAGGATTACTTAAGGTCAGGAGTAAACCAACCTGGCCAACATGGCCAAGCACCATCTCTATTAAAAATACAAACATTAGCCAGGCATGGTAGCGTGCGCCTGTAATCCCAGCTACTCCGGTGGCTGAGGCAGGAGAATTGCCTGAGGCCGGGAGGTGGAGGTTGCAGTGAGCCGAGACCGTGCCAGTGCACTCCAGCCTGGGTGAGGGAGCAAGACTTCGTCTAAAAAAAAAAAGTCTGTCTTCATCCTATGCTGGCTGGCTCTTACTGATATTGAAGAGGAAAGCCCTAAGTATTTCCAGTGACTGTAGGTGACATCAAAGACAAACAGGGAGCTATACTCTCCCATACCCCTGCAAGGTCATAAAATTCCCAGGATGCCAGTAATTGTTTGGCTCTGGCTGAATGCATCTCCCAGTCATCTAGGACAGACCTCTCCTGGAAAAGGTCAATTCAACATAACATCCTTTATGTAAAGGGCTAAAGTATGTAGTGCTTTCTATTTCCTGGTTAGGGTCTCTTATCCTAATAGTCTCCCTAAATTTCAGGGTAATCCTTACTTAACTTTGAATAAGGGCCATGAAAAATATGTTTAACATTCTGTTGTATTACTTTAATAGGTAATGAACCAAACCTTTATAACTTGTCACATTGGTTCTTGTGGAATAAATATTTTTAATCCTCATTTTTAAACTATTATAGATTTATAGTATTTCAAAGCTATATTCTTATAGATAAAAATACAGGAATGTGAAAAATGAAGATAAGAATTCACAAAATAGTCAAAATTACAATATACAGAAGCTTTGCAACTATTCCTATTAAGAAATAAATATATATGAACTCACCTATATTTTAGCTTTACAGAATTTCCAGGTTTTCCCCATGGAAGAACTACAAAATCTTTTCTGTTCATGATTACCACCTTAATATTGTCTAAAAGTTATTCTGATTTGTAAACACTTCTGTAAAAGTAACAAAGACAAAAGAATTATGGCAGAGGTGAAGCAGTATAAGTTACAAATTCAAAACTCCATATAATTCAGGAATGTTTTTAAAACCTTATGAGCAAAAAGGCTGAATCAAAATTTAAACAGCAAAAATTATACACTGTTAGCCCTTTGTCCCCTTCAGCCACATATCAACCAGATAATCAAAAATATTAGAATAAAAAATACAAAAAAAGTACAACTATTTACATAGCATTTATACTGTATTAAGTATTATAAGTAAGCAAGAGCTGATTTAAAGTATACAGTAGGTTATGTGTAGGCTATATGCAAATACTATGCCATTTTATATAAGGAACCTGAGCATCCTAGGATTTTGGTGTTTGCAGGGTGTGAGGGAGTTACTGGAACCAGTCTCCTGTGGAAACCTAGAAATGACTGTATTTTAAGTTATGTAACTATTTATGTGCTAATAAAGTTAGAAATGTAACACGTCTGATGGAATTAAAATTTCACCAATATTTATGTACAGCTGACCCTTCAACAACATAAGGGTTAGGGGCACCAATCCCCCAAAAATCTGTGTACAACTTCTAATTTCCCCCAAATTTTACTATTAACTTATTGTTCATCAGAAGCCTTACTGATAACATAATCAATGAATATATTATGCATGTTATATGTATGTACATACTATATTCTTTTAAAAAGTAAGCTAGATAACAGAAAATGTTATTGAGAAAATCATAAAGAAGAGAAAATATATTTACTATTTATTAAGTGGAAGTGAATCATGATCAGGGGCTTCACATTGAGCAGGCTGAGGAAGACGAAGATGAAGAGGAGTTGGTCCTGTCTCAGGAGTGGCAGAGATGGAAGTGGTAGACGACATGGAAGGGAAAGCAAGAGGGACAGGCACACAAGTGTAACTATTATTTTTTAAAAAATTATTTATAAGTGGATCTGCACAGTTCAAACCTATGATGTTCAAGGGTAAACTGTATAGCAAAAGACTAGGGAAATAGTCAACTAAAAGTGAAGGATACATTCATTAAAACAAACTAAAGCACATATTCTGGCTCTTTCTATTGCTAAGGCTATAAAAGTATACCAAGTATTTGTTCTATCTAAAAATAATATCCAAGGCCGTGCAGAGAGAAACGAAAAGAATCTTTGAGATACAATCTAAACCCAATATCCTTTTTATATATATATATGGTTATATAAAATGAAAATTAAGGTATGTAATAATTACCCAAAGGCATTCTAATATCCTCATTTATCAAAGAAAATTTTAATGATACTCTTTGGCTCAGATCAGAAATTAGCATATTTTAGAAAGAATTTTTCAACAAGAAACAAAAAGGATTTTCTGCTTAACTTTGAGTTAACCAGAAAATAAAATTATTCAGAACACCCTGTTTCCCAAGTATCCCAATTATTCATGGTTCTATAATAATTTACTCTGTAATGCTGAATTACTAAATCACATGAACAACTATTAGATTTTTATAGGAATAAAAATTTCCAAGTTCTAAGAGCTTTTAAAGAAATATGAGTCAATATTATAGTGACCATAGACTTAAATGCCCACACCATTTGATGCTGTCATTTATATATGTGTTCCTATGTGTGTGCTCATAACCACAATAAACATTTATTAAGGTTCTGCTATATACAAGGCAATGTGCTGAGAGGTATGGAGAGGAGTCAAGGCCCAGGGAGGTTTGTTTTCTGAGCTCAAATGGTTTAGAGTCAAATAGGGCATATAGGACCCTAAATATAAAAGCCATAAAACAAGGTAAAAATTATAAGGGCTATAAAATTTATACATGTGATAATATAGGAAGTGAAAGAAAAGAGAGAATTCAGCTGGCTAGCATTTAAGTAAAGCTTTGAAGGAGAAAGGAGGCTTACAGATAAAGATATGGATTAGATGAACAATCCATACTGTTGGAAAGAATAGCTCTTGGATAAGGGACTAATGAATAGTTACACTTGCTTGGTGTGCAGGTTACGTGGAAGAAAAAAAATAAACATGAGTTTAGATATAGTGGCTGAGGCCCAATAATGAGTGGCTTTAAATGTCAAGTTTATAGCATTTGGAATTTATTCTGTAGCTAACAAGAGTCTAATGGGATTTAGCAGGGAAAACGTAAGTCTAGAAGCTTTGCTCTAAGACTTAAGGAAGGACAGCACCAAAACTGGAGTTACCTAATAAAAGGCTATTGTGACATCAAAGTCTACACAACCAAATAAGTGGTTCTTCATCGTTGTTCCTTTGGGAGACTATCTTATATTTCAACGATGCAACCACTGATTGAAAACATTTTTGGGACGCCTCTTTTGAAACTGTCTAGAGAATCCATTTTATGGCTGGACGCGGTGGCTGACACCTGTAATCCCAGTACCTTGGGAGGCCAAGGTGGGCAGATGACTTGAGGTCAGGAGTTCGAGACCAGCCTGACTAACATGGTGAAACCCCATCTCTACTAAAAATACAAAAATTAGCCAGGCGTGGTGGCATACACTTGTAATCCCAACTACTTGGGAGGCTGAGGCACGAGAATCGCTTGAACCCGGGAGGTCGAGATTGCAGTGGGCCAAGATCGCACCACTGCACTCCAGTCTGGGTGACAGAGTGAGACTCTGTCTCAAAAAAGAAAAAAAAAAGAATCCATTATACACCAACAAACACACAAATTCATCTTGTTGTGCCTCATTTGAAATTAAAAATGATTGTGCAATAGGAGCAACTATTTTTTTTTCACTCAAACCTACCTCCAAATTACTTGGACTATCTCCAAAAATTAAATCTAACCTGAAAGGGTAGATCTTCACCATTTTGGAGGAAATTCTCTAGGAATTTATTCTCTAAATATAATTGCAAAATGGAATTACACAAAATAATTACTACATTTTAAATAAGGTAGCGGTTGCCTTATGGGACTAGTTATGTTTGTACCTTCAATCCACAAACATGTATTTAACTGTTCCTTTGTGATCCCTATTAGTGGTCCCAGGTATTGAAGTCATGATGGCAAATAAGCCGTGGTGTCTTCCCTTGAGGCCCTCACAATCAAGGGGAAATCCACAAAAGCAACCACAATATCATGGGGCATTTTGATAGAAGAATCTACAGCAGGCGTCTCACTCAGACTCAATTTTCAACCACCAAGTCCTGTCTCTCAAAGCTAAATTAAGTGTCAACAAGAAATAAAGATACCATAGGAATGGCAAACTAAGATTTGGTTTGCTTTTTGGGAGGGAGGTGGTAGCATTTTCAAATGTAATTCTCTTTTTTCTCCCTCATTTTTGTAGGTAGTATATTTGTCCCATTTTCATCAAATAGCAGCTACCAAAGGCACCTTTCAAAAACCTCCAGGAATAATCCTGCTCCATAACATGGAATCTGTATTGCTTTCTGATCATATTCAGGGAATCCAAATACTGGCCTCTTGCCTACAATTGATAACTTTGTCACAAAAACTTCCATAATGTTATTATTATCATTAAAGAGATAAAATAATTTCCAAAGTTAATCTGTCTGATTATTAAAATAATCTAAATAATCTAAATTGCTATAATTTTGCTTACACATTGAGATATACAATATAATTTTATGTGTATGTACATATATAAAGCTAAACTGATATATGATTGATTTTACTGATACAAAAAATGAACGAACTTCTGTAAATCTCATTACAATAAGATGACTCAGATTTATAGCTCTGCTGATAATGTTATTTAACCAATAAATGGTCTTATTCAAGGGGGATTTCACTTCACTGAATGCAATTAGTAAGGCTTCTTCTCAATTACATATTTTATCTAGTCACCTACATAAGCTAATTTCCTTGTATGAAGAAAAAGGGGAGATTATAATTCTGAGTCATATTATTCTGCCTGTTTCCTTTTGTAAAGCCAACAGAGAATTTAGTCACCTTTCTGGGGATAGCAAGGATATAACAATGTCAGCAGCAAGAATAGCAAAGCACAAAATTTTAGACACCTAATAAAACCAGAGGAATACAGATAAACTCCTTACTATGCAAAACTTATACTTCCTTGTGTCTTTTGGTCATTCAGTTTTTTTTATAACTAAATACCAAAAATTTAGTAGTGATTTGGAAAAATTTCTAGTTACCTGATTTATTAGACTACATTATTTTTCTGTCTACAACCCCATTTTTCCTCACACAAAATACCCAATATAACCCAAAATTGTCCATGATGGTTTGATGATCCTTCTACACATGTTCCTATTTTGAGAAAGCAACCCACACATCAAAACCTACTGCCACAGAATGGAAACAAGGAACGTACAATGCTCTATACAGGTAGAAACTCAGAGCATTCAGCCAGAGGTGCAAGAGAACACCATTGGCAGAATGGGAGGTTTGGGAAACCACTGTTTACAAGATGGGCCACTTTTTGTAACTGAAAACTTATCTAAGTTTAGTTAATTCTTCTAATGACTCAGATCATGCTAGGCACAAGACTTAAAAACCATACCATAAATAGGGATTTTCCCTTACTGTAGCAATATTTTGAAATGGTCTAATTAGCAAACAACTTTGGGTGAATTAACATGTTTAGGCATTTAGTACCATAGTACTTAGAAATCAGAGACCCAAGAAAGAAATGTTAAATGAGAATTTAAAATAGTTGCTTTTAATAATTAAAAGAATTTTACTTTTCACATTTCTTCTATCTGTAATTATCCTTATTTTAAATATATATATTTTTTAAAATATTTAAAAAATTATAAGGCAAGAACTGATAATACATGATTTCTAGAATAGTATCTTGTGCTGGAGTGTCCTACTAAATAAATGTGTGCCACATTCTCATAGCAAAAGCTCTAAAAGTAAAGCAGGTATTGATATAGTTTGGCTGTGTCTCCACCCAAATCTCATCTTGAATTGTAATCCCCATAATTCCCACATGTGGTGGGAGGGCCCTGGTAGGAGATAATTGAATCATGGGGACAGTTTCCCCCACGCTATTTTCGTGATAGTAAGTTCTCATGAGATCTGATGGTTTTATAAGGGCTATCCCCTTTCACTTAGCTGTCATCCTTCTCTTTCCTGCCACCATGTGAAGAAGGATGTGTTTGCTTTCCTTTCTGCCATGATTATAAGTTTCCTGAGGCCTCCCCAGCCCTGCAGAACTGTGAATCAAACC
This sequence comes from Homo sapiens, assembly GCF_000001405.40. Taxonomy (NCBI): domain Eukaryota; kingdom Metazoa; phylum Chordata; class Mammalia; order Primates; family Hominidae; genus Homo; species Homo sapiens. Next base: position 167,378,126 of record NC_000003.12, read on the forward strand.
TCTTTCCTTTGTAAATAACCCAGTCTTGGGTATTTCTTCATAGCAGTGTGAGAATGGACTAATATAGGTATTGACTTCAGGTTGCATTCAATCTTTCAGCCAAACAAGATATCTGATAGTAAAATACTGCTTCAAGGTGCTAAATGGTACCCAAGTTGCCCATTTTTTATGCTCTATAGGCAGGTTCTCTTGAGAACAACTGAGAAACTTTGCCTTTAGATATCAAGGGACAAGATACCATTTTAAAATACTTTTGATTAAAAATAATAAACAATATTAAAAGGCACTGAATTTAAGGTCAGAAAACCTAGGTAGACTAAATTCACTGGATTTAAAGTCATAAGATCTTTGTGTGATAGAAATCTCTGAGCTTCAGCTTATCCATGTAGAAAATGGTAAGGATCCTCTCCCCCTCTAATTTGCAGGATATTAAACAAAAGGTGTCTGATTTGTGACTTGACTTGTCAAGCTGTGGGCTTCTATAAGACCTCCAGAGAGCTCACGGTTCAGGGAAAGGGGCAGCCTTAGAAACTACCTAGAGAAGGCACAGCCTTAGAAACTACCTAGAGAAGAAAATGGAGCATCAAGATTGTGCTTTACCCTTAGCATCTCTGCTTTCATCTTTTTTACATAATGAGCTTTAGTGTTTACCTCTCTGCTCACCAAGTTTTATTCTACTCAATGCTCAATTCGAAGGCTGCCTGTATCATGAAGATTCCCTCCATCGAAACCGAGCTTCTCCTTGTATAGAAAGACCATGTTTATTAAACTCATTTGCTATTGTATGTTACCTTGTGTTATTTTTTGCATCTTTGTTTATATAGATTTTGTTTCCCTAAGTAGCCCAAATATTTGAGAGTGGTCCTACCATTGACCTTTGAAACCCCAGCAATCAATACAGTCCCTATACATAATGTAGTGCCAATAATAATGTGCTAAGTATGTAATTTTTTTTCTACTGCTTTTAGTTTTTTGCACAACCTACCCTACGGAAAAAATTAAACACGCCCTCTTTCCCACTTCAACTAAACTTTTTGTTTTCTTTTTTCCATGTTTCCTAACGATCTTGATGAGCAATCAACAAATATACATTGAACACTCTCTCCCTGCCAGGTGTCAGGTTAAGCACTGAGGATCAAGGTCAACCAGACAGGTATAATACCAGTCTTCACTGAACTTACACTCTGGTGAAGGAAGTAGGTAAAAATTAAAAAGCGAATAAAATAATTGCAAGAATTATTAAGTGTCTTGAAAGACATAAAGGAACTACTTTCAAACAATTCATTTGTAATACAATTGGTAAAATTATGACAGGTCAGGGCAGCCCTCTGTGTAGACTATAAGATAAGCTAAATTGGAGAAAGGCAGAGGGAGTCATTACATTTGCATAAGCATACAGTTTGTATAATTTTAATCCTGTGTAGTTTCAACTTTACTATATTTTTTAATGAGCCTTGTTAACTTTAGATTTTAAGTCAAGCTATAAAATATATATAACTGAACCTTACATACCTGAGTCCCTCTACTGCTGATTTTGGGAAGAAAAAATAAACTTCCACATCTTCAGATTTCTCAGGAATCGGGCACCCCGCACCATAGCCCTTACTTGTGAGGAGTAGACTTCAAGAAGTAAGTGGGTGCATGTGAACGCGCAGGCAGACTAAAGGCTACAAAAGGGGATGAAATATGGTTTCTCAGGGTGCCAAATTTTTCATAAGGTGCAAATGACTTCAAAGGATAAAAGGGGCTAGTATTTGAAAGGGTCGGGCTGCAGAAGGGGTACAACTGATGAAGTCCCCAATTTCACTGTCTGGGGTTCACTCTTGATTCATTTATCCATTAGCATTTTGGGCTGGGAAGTCTTTGGTGTATACCAAAGGCTTTCAACTCCTGAGGCCAGGGCCCCGTCCTGCTGCCTGCAGGCCTGGCACTATGTCAGCCTATGGCAGGGGCTCAGCAAACACTTGCTGGGCCGGTGCCTCCAGCTCCACCCGAGCTGAGTCTGCTTCCCAGCCGCGCTGCCCGCTCTGCTCCCCGCACCAACTAGCCCGGGCTTGCTGCCCGCTAGGCGGACTCAGAGACCATCCTCCCCTCTCATCCACCCGCAGACAGACAACCCACCTGGAGACCCCAGCCTCTCGCGTCACCACCGCCGGATGGCCGCGGATAGCTGCCGGGAGTTTCCGTCTTGGTCTCCTTGGTTACCGCGTTACCTCGGTACCCATAGCAACCAGAAAGCTGGGTTCTGCCACTGTCCGCCGGCAGAGGGCGAAAAGGAGCCTGCGAAATGAGAGAGAATGGTGATCACAGGAAGGAAAAGGGCGGAAAAACTCAACAGGCTCTGGAAGCTTTCCGCCAGAGAGGATCTTGGAGATTATGTATGTGCTAAACCTGAGCATGTGTCATATTCCAAGCACAAGTGAGAGACTTATATGTCATATTTGATTCTTCCTCATAGCAAGCCAGCTTAAATCTAAAAAAATTAAGGCACAAAAAATTTGACTATCTTAATCCAAAATTACAAAGCTAGCAAATGGCAGACCTACAAATTAATTCAAGGAGTTTAGTCTCAGAACTCCCACATTTATGCTATGTTTAAATGATTTATCAATGGCTACCATAGGCAAAGTCAATAGAGATTCCAGGTCTCTTCAAAAGTCCAGAACTCTCTTTTCTTTGTACCGAATACATGACCCGTGGAGTCTAATGGGTATAAAACAAAAAGCAAAAGCAAATATATGCACACACACACACACACACACACACACACACACACACACAGTTAACCCACAATTCTCAACTCAACTCTTCCGAACAAAGCTGCACCTGTAGTGAATTTATCTTTGGCTTCCTAAATATGCTGTTTTTTATCTCCCTTTTTAAATACTGCAAGTAGGATGTGTGGTTGGTACTGCACTGTATAGGCTTCTATGCTTAACCACATTGCATCTGTCTCGGTACCAGACTAACAATCCTAACTATTACAGTTAATGTACTAATCTTTACACCATTACTTTTGACATTACTATGCCTGCCAATACCCATTTAAAAAAAAATAATGATTTCACTTGGCATATTCAATTATATAAGATTACAACCACTATGGATAAGAGAAGACAATGGTAGTCTTCTGGTTATAAGTCTGGATTTTGGAGTCAGGCAGATTCAAGATTGAGTGCCAGTACTGCCACAACTTACCTGCTGTGTGACCATGAGCAAGTAACAATGCTCAGTCTAACTGCTTAAATGAGATAACAGTACAGTTAGTCCATACGTAATGTAGTATGGAAGAGTAAATGAAACAATAAATATTAAGTATTTAGCTCTAAGCCAGGCCCATATTGAGTGCTTAATAAACAGTAAGAAACAGTGGTGCTGGTGTGGCTATGATGGTTGCTATTAACGTGTTCATGGTATAACTTTACCACGTCCTTCCTTTAACTTTAATACAAGAACTAGTTTCAGGTGGATGTGCGATACTACTGGTTTTCTTGCACAGACTATTTCCCATACAGGCGCGCTCTTCAAATTACCAAAGATATTTTCAGCTTTCGTCCATTTACTGATCTATTCATTTATTTATTTATTCCACAAATATTTATTGAAAGTCCATTTCCTAGATCCCAAAAATACTGGAGTGAAGAAATCGTCAAAGCCCCTCCTATTTTCAAATATATTTTAACAGGAGCAGAAAGGCAATAAACAAGTATAAATGCATGTCAGCTGCTATGAAGAAAACTAAAGCCAAATAAAGAAATAGAAACTAATTGAGTTCTGTTTTAGGGTAGATGGCCAGGGAAGTATCTGAATGCAAGGAAAGAGAAAGACATGGGCCACTAGAGGAAGAAACAGTCCAGAGAGAACAGTAAACACATGTCAATTATGTCCCAGTAAAGATTATTTTGCAAATAACTTCTCCTCACTTCTACAAAGGACTTTTACTCCAAAAAATGATTCTTACAATGCATTTACTTACACAATAGTAAAATTAAACTCATAAAAATAATGTATAAAGTATTCTTGCACTTTTTGAAAGCATTAAAAGAACATTATCTTATATTTAGAAAAATAGCTTATGCACAGTTATGAAAAGGCAAAGCAGAGACAAAAACTAAGCCTATGCTAAGTCACATAGTAAAATAAAAAGTATGAAGTGCTTGTCTTTCAGAATGATGATTAGTGACAAAATGAAATGAAACATGTCAAAACAATTACAGCTCTAGAGAGATGATATTCTCTCCACTGAAGTAAAATGCGTTTAACTGGCACACCAGCAATGCCGCACACAGTTTACCACAACTATATCAAGAGCACAGTATTCCTGAGGGTTTTTCCAAACTCATGCTTCTTTGTGCCACAGTGGAGACAAGGTTTGAATACAAGTTTTCTGAACTGGAGATATTCAATTTAAAGAGATAAAAATTACCGGCAATGCAGAAATTAAGAGCACAGATTTACATGACTCATTTTACTAAGCTTGAAATAAGGGTCAGGGACTGTAAACAAGCATTATCCAAAACTTAGAAATAAGGTAAAGCCAAAAACAGCATGTCTTTTCAATGCCATACTAGAATACTGTTTAAGATAATCTGAGCATTACATGATTTTCTAAAAAAAAGTGTTGCTTTTCTTATCATTAACTATTGATAAAGTCTCTGTGTAATGTTGTATGTTTATTTGAAGATTTTTTCACCTGCATTTTTCATATCATTTGTATCTGGATATGTAAATAATGTCTTTCCTTTAAATAAAATAATTTCAAAGCTAATGGTTTTATTGCACTATACAACTTTAACCAGTTTTGTATCTAACCTAGAAATCTCATACTAATATTTTATCTCAATTCCTATATACAGTCAGCTACCAAATTTTCTTTGAACCAGCTTTACCATTCTAATAATTCCGTCCTTAATGAATTAAACTGTATCACATGTATATTCTCTACTTAAAGAATATCTTGTTTTTAAGTATTGCAATTATATTTTGATAATACCAAACCTTTGGAAGAAAATGGGACAAATATCATATCTGCAGCTTTCCAGAAGTATTCTCTCAATTTCCATTTGCTCTTTGGCCCTTCAGATTCTTTTATAGGCAAAAGTTTGTGGGCATTTCAAGGTAGCAAAACCAAATTCCTACCATCTCCTTTTTTACAAGCCCTGAAATGTGGTTTTACTTTTACATGAAGCATCTACTTTCTTTATGCCTTGGTAAATGCTAAATATAACATCCTATTACATATGTATGGGGTTTTTCAACTTGTCAAGAAAACTGAGCTTTAGAGACAACATAAAATTACAAAAAATCCTTAGCAAAAACCAAATTAGTATGATATAAATATATTTAAATGCATCCGAATGGCTAAACTTGAGGAAGAATAAAAAGAAACTTAGAGTTAAGAGGTGACATTGGCCTTTTATAATTTTTCTCGGCTTTGTAATTTCTGCCTATCATCCATGACACAGAATTTCTAAGCAAATAAATTTTCATAACACAAGGCAATTATTACTGATGCTTCACAAATGGAGGAGAATCATCAGGGCCTATGATAAATTTTCGATTCCTGCAATGTGCAGTGTCTTCCAAATTGAAAAATAAATGTATAGCCTTGTTGAATGAGCATAGTTAAATTTAATCAACATTTATTCAACACCTGTTCTATTCCAGGCACGGCCCTAAGATAGGTACAAAGGTGAACAAAGACACCGTCTCTGTCCTTGAGTAATTCAAGTGAGAGTTTGCAACTAATTAATATGTAATGTATTAAGTACTACGTTCAAAAAGAATGGGAGCATTACATGTTTGTGGCATGGGCAGAATTTCTAGTTGGTTCAAACATAGTATATGTGGCAAAAAGATAAGAATGAAAAGTTGTGCTAGGAGCACATTAAAAAGCACTTTGAATGTTACCCTATTCACAATGGAAACTGTGAAATTTTCTTTTCTTCTCTCCTCTTAATACCCTCAAATAATTTTTAAAGCAGATCTTTAAGCATCTCAGTATGTGTATAGCCGCATCTTTCAAGGGTAATTCTGGTGGCAATGTAAAAATAGAGCAAGTGGAAAAGAGGAGGACAAGAGACACTTTTAAAATATGGTTATATTAGTCCAAGATAGAAATAATAAGTCTTGAATAAATCAAGGCAGAGGGCAGAGGCCAAGTGAAACAGTTTCAAAGGATTTTGTAAACTCTCAATAGGGCTTGGAAAGTACAGATACATGGTTAGCTAGGAATATGGAACAGAGCTGCTTGTCTCTACATTTGATAGCTTGGTAAATAAGTAGATGGTACTGATAACCAGCCGTGGAAGAGCAAGAGAATAAATAAGCTCACAGAGAGTGGGGTCAAGAAGGCAGGGCAGACTGAGTTTTTACTTTTGCAATAGCAGTAGGGAGGAATACAAAAATATGACATAGCTCTAGTTACTTAGGAGACAACCATATATATTAGGTTACCATCAGCATGTAATCAGATAGTAACCAGAGCTGAAGGAAAAGTTTAAATTGTCCAAGGATTTCTCGGAGAAACTACAGAAGACATAGTATTGAGAGAGGCATTCATTCAGCATTCCTAAAATAGACCAATATAAAACCCATATGTGACCTTCTTTATCCAGCAGTGTTTTTACTGCAGGGTCTCTGCAAATGAGGTTGGCAACCTGAATGAATTTATTCCTGTAATCATCTATTCTTCTCAGTGTTCTCATGCATTTACTGCAGACAAGCATGCACTACATCAGCTGGTAAAAAAGAAGAACTAGCACTGGTCATTGAAGCTTGCATTGCCAATATCAACATTCCTAATACAAAACTTTTTAAATTGTTGGTGTATATATGGGTCCAGAGAAGGTGAAGACACAATTCACATGATGGAGTCTTTAGAAAGTCAGTTTCAAAAAACAGAACACTTTATTTGAACATAAATAACATTATTTTCACTATAACCTCAATTTAATACAATCATGTGTCTCTTAATGATGAGGATATGTTCTAAGAAATATGTGATTAGGTTATTTTGTCATTGTACAAACATCAAAGAGTGAACTGACACAAACCTAGATGTTATACACCTAGGCTATTTGGTATAGCCTATTGCTTCTAGACTATAAGCCCTTATAGCATGCTACTGTACTGAATACTATACACAACTCTAACACAATGGTCAGTATTTGTGTATCTAAGCATATGTAAACACAGAAAAAGGACTGCCAAAATGCAGTATAAAAGACAAAAAAAATGGAATACCTATATAGGGCACTTACCGTAATTAGAGTTGGCAGAACTGGAAGTTGCTTTGGATGAGTGAGTAGGTACTATAGACTTTATAAACACTATAAACTTAGGCTACCCTAAATTTTTTTTAAAAATTTCATTCTTTTAATATAAATTAGCCTTACCTTCCTGTAACTTTACTTTATAAACTTATAATTTTTTTAAACTTTTTGACCCTTTTGTAATGACAACTCAAAACAAACACATCGTACAGATGTACACAAAATTTTTTTTCCTTATATACTTATCTATAAGCCTTTTTCTATTTATTCCTTCTAATTTTAAAACTGTTTTTGTTAAAAACTAAGACACAAACACATGTATTACCCAAGCCCTACACAGAGTCAGGATCATCAAGACATCCCCAGGCGATAAGTAATTTTTCAGCTCCATTATAATCATATGGGGCCACCATTGTATATGTCATCCCGTCACTGACTGAAACTTACATGGTGCATAACTGTATAAGGTTAGTGTTTCTTAGTTCCACCCAAGGATTGATAAGCAGATATGGTGGACAACAATAATCTGCCACTCTTCCTCCTGCCTTTGCCTGCCAACAATCTGTCAGTCTTGGCAGCCATGTTTCATTATGTGACCCAACCTACCCTTGTAATGGTTTATTGAACAGGAGTCCAAACTGAACCAGTCAGATACTCTCCTGTGAGAATAAGAGATTGAGATTGAGAGAGAAAATCATGGGGCAAAAATATTCTGTCATTTGGACAGAAGAAAGAAAGAAAGGATAAAAGGTAAAAAAAGAAAAAATAAAGGATGGAAGTAGAGGCAGGGAGAGAAGGAAGCAAAGATGAGAGACAGATTTCAGATTTTCTGGAAATTTTCCCCTTCCTGAAGACTAGCTACATCCAAAAATGATACACTCCTGCATCTTTAAAATAAAATTCCCTTATTAATTACTTAAACTAGGATGGATTGTTTTGGTTGTGCAGAACAGAGAACCCTGACTTAAATGACTACCAGAAGAATCATAAAGTAAAACCAAAGTAACTTTCTTTATAAGGAAACTCCAAAGTATAGATTCCCAGAGAATTCTTTTAAACAGCAGTAGAGCGTTGATCTGTAACTCTCATAATTGCAAATTAATATTCTTGCATAGGCATATATAAGTGAGTTGTTCTAGCATGCTTTTGAAGTCATCTCCTCAAAAAAAAGCTAAAATCTCTTGTTTATTTTTTAATCACTTAAGTTTCTTAGTTTATTTGCTTTAAGTTTAGCTGTGCCAGTTTTGCCAGCAAACAATTATTTATAATTGATATAGCTTTAGGGAAAAGCTCATCTTAAAAAGAAAAAAGCTGGCATTTCAGAGAAAAAGTCATTTATTTCTGGTCCTTGCCAAGTTTCAATAAGTGTATCATACTGTCTTCTTGAGATTTATGCACTGTTTGCTGTACTTCATTTGGAAAATTTGCATTTTTCTCTTATGCACTCAAGCTAGGAGGCACAAAACAAGAGTTACAAGGTTTGTTTGACATGAGATGTCTAACAGTAATTTTCTTTCATCAACTTTATTCTCTTACAGTTCCAATCCCCAAGGGCAGATTTTTCATTAGATTTTGTAAAATATTTTATAATAACTGCCTTACCTTTGGGAAAGTTACTGCCACAATATTTCAAAAGATTTGTCACAACTTTGTCCATAAGAAAGGTATCATTCTTATGCCCATTGTGAGTTAATATTACCCATGTACCCATTTTCACATTAATTCAGAAAATTACAATGCACCTAACATGGCTAGCTTTGGTGAAGGTAATGCTCATTCAGATATTCACCAAACACTTATTGAGGACCTACTATGCTTTAGGCATTCTTACAGATAATGGGCATAACTATGAACAGAAAGATTTGTATTCTGTACTTGTGAAAAATATAGGCTAGATGAGGGACACAGACAAGAATTCAGAATAATAACTGCTAAAACTGTGAGAATATTATCAGAAAAAGGATACTTGCTCAATAGTTGGGGCTCAACAAAGACTTCTTAGCATAATCTATAATGATGTTCAATGTAGCATAATGATTTTCAGTCACAATGATGTTCAATGTTGGCCTAGTCTGTTGCGTAGGAACATCATACTGGTATGGAGCGTGGGTGAAATTACTGTTCTGGATAGAAAAAAGAAAGCATATACAAATTTCCCTGCAGTGAGTTAGAATATAAGCATAGAGAATCTAAAAATTTCTAGCATTACTGAAACATACAAGGGACTCAAGAGACGTGGAGAAAGAGAGAAGAGGTGGAAGGAAGTCATACAATTCCGTGAAGGGAAGATTCATTAAGAGGTCATCGCTGTTGTATAGGAGATACTAATGGACTAGGCCAAAGCAGAGGAAGCAAAGCTGAAGGGAAGTGAAAGGAGCTATTAGTTATCAAAATCTTATCAATGGACTTGGAATTAACTAGATGAGAGGCTGAGGAGTGAAGGATGACCCACGTGTATTTATGGATGACCCTGAAGATACAATTTAAAATGATTCAAACTACGCTGAATTAAGGAACATTCATTTATTAATTCAAACATGCCATTGGATACCTACCGTATGCCAGGTATTGTTTTGGAAGCTGGCACCTTGAACACAAGTAACAACCTATTTGTTTTCATTAAGTTTCTATTGTATGGGATAGAAAAATATACACCGGTTTTAGTTTATTTCATCAAGAGAATAAAACAGATCAACAGACACCTTTCTAGGATGAGATCCTATTTTAGGTGGAATAGTCACAGAAAACCTCTCTGAGCAACATTTGCAAAGAGCCACGTTAAATGAGGAGCAAGCCATGCAAAAGTCTGGAATGTTTCTAGAAGAGGAACATCAATATCCTAGGGTGGAACAAATGAGAGTGTGGTTTAAATGTGGTGAAAATGTTAGGAGATAAGACTATATGGAGGGATAGGCAGTAAGATAGGAGATGAAGGCCAAAATAAGGGGTTTGCATCCCATGCCAACTAATATAGGGAGTTACGAACAGGCTTTAAACAGAGGAGTGACAACTGATTTATATTTTTATAAGATAACATTGGCAACCAGAGGACATTGGCTATAGAGAGTTAAAGACAGGGAGATCAGTGAGAATATTAATGCAATCTTCCAGAAAAGACAATCACTAAGTTATGGTATTAAGGACTCAATCACTGCATTAGAATGCAGGATGGCTACTATGACACGATCCGACATAGCAATAGATTAAACAAAATAAACGTTGACCTCTCTCTCACTTAGCATGTAAGTGAACACAATCCAGAATTTAGTTGTGTCCAGAGGGTAAAAGGTACCTAGGCTCCTTCCATTGTGCTGTTCTGCCTTTCTCAACATGTCACTTTGTATTTACTGGTCTAAGATAAATGACCCAGCTCCTGCCATCAAGCTAGCGTTCAAGCCAATGAGACTCAAAGAAGAAAGACAGAAAATGAAAGCACACCCTTGTTTGTTTATTTAATAATTAATATGTGAAGATCATGTCTTAAATTTGCATTTCTTTTATAATAAGCTTCAACATTTTCTAATGACAGTTTGTATTTCTATTTTTGAGAATTACCTCTTTTCTTTTCTTTTTTATTTTGCTTTATGTTCTGGAATACATGTGCAGAACATGCAGGTTTGTTACATAGGTATACATGTACCATGGTAGTTTGCTGCACCTTTCAACCCACCATCTAGGTTTTAAGCCCCACATGCCTTAGGTATTGGTCCTAATGTTCTCCCTCCCCTTGCCCCCGACCACCTGACAGGCCTCAGTGTGTGATGTTTCCCTCCCTGTGCCCATGTGTTCTCACTGTTCAACTCCCACTTATGAGTGAGAACATGCAGTGTTTGGTTTTCTGTTCCTATGTTACTTTGCTGAAAATGATGGTTTCCAGCTTCATCCATGTTCCTGCAAAGGACATGAACTCATTCTTTTTTATGGCTGCATAGTACTCCATGGTGTATATGTGCCACATTTTGTTTATCCAGTCTATCACTGATGGGCATTTGGGTTGGTTCCAAATCTTTGCTATTGTAAATAGTGCTGCAATAAGCATATGTGTACATGTGTCTTTATAGTAGAATGATTTATAATCCTTTGGGTATATACTCAGTAATGGGATTGCTGGGTCAAACGGTATTTCTGATTCTAGATCCTTGAGGAGCTGCCACACTGTCTTCCACATTGGTTGAACTAATTTACACTCCCACAAACAGTGTAAAAGTGTTCCTATGTCTCCAAAGCCTTGCCAGAATCTGTCATTTCCTGACTTTTTAATAATTGCCATTCTAACTGGTGAGAGATGGTATCTCATTGTGGTTTTGATTTGCATTTCTCTAATGACTAGTGATGATGAGCTTATTTTCATGTTTTTGGCCACACAAATATCTTCTGTTGAGAAGTGTCTGTTCATATCCTTCACCCACTTTTTGATGTTTTTTTTTCTTGTAAATTTAAGTTCCTTGTAGATTCTGGATATTAGACCTTTGTTAGATGGATAGATTCCAAAAATTTTCTCACATTCTGTAGGTTGCCTGTTCACTCTGACTATAGTTTCTTTTGCTGTGCAGAAGCTGTTTAGTTTAATTAAATCCCATTAGTCAATTTTGGCTTTTGTTGCTATTCCTTTTTGTGTTTTAGTCATGAAGTCTTTGCCCATGCCTATGTCGTGAATGGTACTGCCTAGGTTTCTTCTAGGGTTTTTATGGTTTTGGATCTTATGTTTAAGTCTTTAATCCATCTTGAGTTAATTTTTATATAAGGTGTAAGGAAAGGGTCCAGTTTCAGTTTCCTGCATATGGCTAGCCAGTTTTCCTAGCACCATTTATTAAATAGGGAATTATTTCCCCATTGCTTGTTCTTGTCAGGTTTGTCAAAGATCTGATGGTTGTAGATATGTGGCATTATTTCTGAGGCCTCTTTTCTGTTCCATTGGTCTATATATCTGTTTTGGTACCAGTGCCATGCTGTTTTGGTTACCATAGCCTTTGTAGTATACCATAGACTTGTAGTATAGTTTGAAGTCAGGTAGTGTGATGTCTCCAGCTTTCTTCTTTTTGCTTAGGATTATCTTGGCTATACGGGCTCTTTTTTGGTTCCATATGAAATTTAAAGTAGTTGTTTTTTTTTTTCTAATTCTTTGAAGAAAGCCAATGGTAGCTTGATGGGAATAACATTGAATCTATAAATTAATTTGGGCAGTATGGCCATTTTCATGATATTGATTCTTCCTATCCATGAGCATGGAATATTTTTCCATTTGTTGTGTCCTCTCTTATTTCCTTGAGCAGTGGTTTGTAGTTTTCATTGAAGAGGTCCTTCACATCCCCTGTAAGTCGTATTCCTAGGTATTTTATTTTCTTTGTAGCAGTTGTGAATGGGAGTTCACTCATGATTTGGCTCTCTGTCTGTTATTGGTTTATAGAATGCTTGTGATTTTTGCACATTGATTTTGCATCCTGAGACTTTGCTGAAGTTGCTTATCAGCTTAAGCAGTTTTGGGGCTGAGACTATGGGGTTTTCTAAATGTACAATTATGTCATCTGCAAATGAAGATAATTTGACTTCCTCTCTTCCTATTTGAATACGTTTATTTCTTTCTCTTGCCTGATTTCCCTGGCCAGAACTTCCAATACTATGTTGAATACTAGTGGTGAGAGAGGGCATCCTTGTCTTGTGCCGGTTTTCAAAGGGAATGCTTCCAGCTTGTGCCCATTCAGTATGATATTGGCTATGGGTTTGTCAACAATAGCTTTTATTATTTTGAGATATGTTCCATGCATACCTAGTTTATTGAGAGTCATTCTCATGAAAGGATGTTGAATTTTGTCGAAGGCCTTTTCTGCGTCTATTGACGTAATCATGTCGTTTTTGTTATTGGTTTTGTTTATGTGATGGATCACATTTATTGATTTATATATGTTGACCCAGTCTTGCATCCCAGGGATGAAGCTGACTTGATCATCGTGGATAAACTTTTTGATGTGCTGCTGGATTTGGTTTGCCAGTATTTTATTGAGGATTTTTGCATCAATGTTCATCAGGGATAATGGCCTGAAATTTTCTTTTTTTGTTGTGTTTCTGCCAGGTTTTGGTATCAGGATGATGCTAGTCTCATAAAATGAGCTAGGGATTAGCCCCTCTTTTTCTATTGTTTGGAATAATTTCAGAAGGAATGGTACCAGCTCCTCTTTGTACCTCTGGTAGAATTTAGCTGGAAATCCGTTTGGCCTTGGGCTTTTTTTGGTTGGTAGGCTGAGAATTGCCTTTTTGGAACATGATTGACTTTTAATTATTACCATTGGTCTGTACTGTAAATAAAGTCATCTTTCTTTTCATCAAATTTATTCAGATATATATACTTTACATACAATAAATCACAAATATGTTAAATTTTACATTTCAATGACTTTGACAAATATATGCTGTATGTCTGTGTAACTACTACTAGAATGAAGATATATTAGAATTTTATATGTAGATAAATCAAGTAAATATATATATAAATCAAGACTTATCTATATCTACAATCCTATAAAGTTTCTGCCTATCCCATCCACTTGAAATCAATACTCTCACCTACATGAAGCTCCAAGATAAATATAGATATATTTATCTATACATAAAATTCCCAAAAAGTTTCTGCCTACCCTATGCACTTGCAATCAATACCCTCACCCACCTGAAGCTCCAAGAAACCACTGATCTGCTTTTAGCCACTAAGGAATAATTTTTCTGGTTTTAGAATTCATTATAAATGGAATCACACAATTTGTACTCTCCCATGTAAGTCTTCTTTAACTCAGCATAACATTTTTGTGATTTACCCATGTTAATATGTGTGTCACCAGTTTGTTCCCTGTCATTACTGAGGACTATTCTACTGGATAAATATAACATAATTTATTTATATAATTACTCTTTAATGAACATTTAATTGTATCCAGTTTGTGTCTATTATTAATAAATATGCTGTAAACATTTATGTGCAAGTCTTTGTGTGGAAGCATTGTCATTTCCTTTGGATGAATTGTTAATTTCTCTTGAGTAAACATCTAGTACCAGAATTGCTGAGTAGTATGGTAAGTTTATATTTAACTTTATAAGAAACTGTCAAACTGTTTTCCAAAGCATTTCCACCAGCTATGTATAAAGTTCTAGTTGCTGCTCCACTTTTTTAATAAGCATGATCTGAAAGTTGCATGATGGCTTCAGCGTATATCCCACTGAAAAGAGATTAGTCATTGAACCCCATCTGCCTCCTACAAAAGGAGCTAGAGATATGGTCTGTAGATGAGATGCCAGGTGCTCATCTAAAACTCATGGTTTCTATTACACAGAAAGAAAGACAAAAAGAAAGTGTTGGTGATTGACTTCATCTGAAGCAGAGGAATTAAAACGGGCTTCCAGATTTTAGGTGGATGTTAATGCTATTAACTGATTTGACATGTTGAATTTGAGATGTTAGACATCGAAGTGAATGGGTAAGTAAACTGTTTAGTGTACCAATCTGAAGTTCAAGGCAGAGATTAAAGCTGGAAATATAAACTTGGGAATAATCATCATACTAAAGGAACTTAAAGCCATGGGATGGAATGAGGAATAAATGTAGGATATTGTTTCCATCCAATGATGCAATGATTTCATGAACTATTTTCAGAGACCAAGATGTAAGTATAACTAGAAGAATGTTAGCTAGCCTAAAACAAAACAAAACCCCCTTTTGCCCCTCTTTCCCTGGACAATGGAGTACACCACTTAAGGATTACATTTTTCAGCCTCCCTTGCAGCAAAGTCTAGCTATATGAATAAATTCTTACCAGTGAAATTTGAGTGACATAGTCCCCCTGCCAGTCTGGATGCTCATCTTCAGAGAAACCCTAAGTAAAAGGAAAAATTAACTTCTATGTTATTTAAGCCACTATATTTAGATTTTGTTTGTTTAGCAGCTTAAGCTCCTTTTAGCATCTTAACCAATTCATGAGGCATATCAAATAATTTCTTATGCTCAAGTAACAAATTTCCATTGCTACTTATTTTATTCATTTTTATTGATTTTATCATGATCTTGCTTATTTTTTACCAAAATTGCTTATTTGGGTTTATTTATCAAAGAGTGGGTTAAGTTGCTAGTATTTATAAACTGCTCCAAGAAATAAAGTAATAATGTTATCTTGCAGAATGTTAATAAATATTTTCTTCACGTACTTGTGATTCTTTCCAGTCATTGCCTCAATTAGTTCTTGATGCTAGAGTGAAAATAAAAGTTAATGTAGTTGTTTGCGTTTCACTGAAGAAGAAACTAGAGATATTAAATTATTTGTCCATAATAGCAAACCAAGTTAATGGAAAAGGTGGAAGTAAAATGCAATTATCTCACTTCTATTTTATTGAACTATTAGATTACAAGTCACAACTAATTAAAAACATGATACAAGAGCTAAAGCCGCGTAACCTTTTTATGGTGAAGACAGCCTAAAAATTGCCCTTCCACATGTTTCACATTTTATATCCATAAAATGTTTCTTGTAAAATTATGCTTATTGAACTTTTTCACTAAGTTTAAATAGATGTAAAATAGATACAGATAGATAAATGAAAATGTAGAAAGTATTTTAAAAGTAGAATATATATTTTATCCAGATTTTCCATACATACCAAAATCTGTTTATATCTGGATGTATTCTCTTCCAATTCTTTCTCTATTTATATAACTAATACTTTACTTTTTACATAACTATAATTAATTAAGTATAAATTCAGATGGCATTTAGTATATACAGTGCTTCTCAACACAAGTGAAATTCAGCAGAAATCCATTGGGTGGAGTTGTACCATAACTGAACGTTTCAAAGGGTTTTTCAGTGTTCTCTTTTTAATTTTTTCCTCAATCTTTACAAAGCTAATGGCTAAGCAATATTTGCTATTCGAAGACTTTAAAACTGTTTTATCCCCACTGGAAATAGTTGGAGATTGTTGGCTTAGGTGTTATTTTCTTTCTGATTGTATCAAGTAGAAGCCACATGCATATGGACACAATTTAGGATTTAATAATCTTGACAAAGAATACAGTTGCTTATTTTCCCCCAAAATAAGCAGATTAGAGAGGTTAAGTAGAAAATAACAATTGACTTGATAAAAAATGCTATTCTGTCCTTTCATCTCTCAAACTCATTTTTTTTTTCTGCCATTGGGAAGAGAGGTAAGAATCTAATATTCCAAATCCTCTGAGACAAAAGGTTACACGGCCCAAAGAAGCAAGCCTTCATTAATGTTGATTCATTCTAATAGATGCTACAGAAAGCTGCCAAAAACTTGACATATTGAGAAATTAGTTCCTCAATAAAAGGTTTATTCCTGCATGCAGAATCAGGTTAATCTCTCTCTAGCAGTATTTCTGACTTAAGTGCTCATAAATATCAAGGGTCCAATCATGGAAATTCTGATTTAGTCGATCCGAGGTGGACCTCAAGAATCTGTTCATTTCAGGAACACCTGCAATGGTCCAATCATCATATATGGAAGCACCACCCTGATGGAAGGACAAATTAGATGAGTAAGTTAGCTCTGTCTTGTGAGCCATGAGTTAGCTCTGTCTTGAGAGCCATGGAAGGAAATAGAGGCATATTAAAACCAACCTCTGGTTCAAGCATCCCAATTAACTCTAATACACTTATCCTCTGAGAGGAGACCTAACATTTTCTCTTTTACTTTCTAAAGCTTGTTCCCTAATCCTCTCAGAAATGCTCCAGTTATTTATGCAACTAGAAGAATGAAGGCCAAGATTGAAATGGAAAAAAATAATATGGGGATTTATAGATCAAACTAGATGGGTGTTTCCTTTGGCTTTTTAAGAATGAGTAAAGTTATTTTTTAGAAGGAAATAATGTTCTTGAATATCACATGCTTTAATTTTAAGTTTTATAAATAACAGTTATAGGTTCTGGTACTAACTGGTTTTACTTGCAATACTGGTCTTTTTATACAGAAATGAGGATGTGAATGCTCTTTTACTGGGTGTACAATAACAGGCAGGAGTGCCAGAGTTAGAAAAGCAGCCTAGTACCATGGAAAAATTATAGAGTAAATAATTCTGAGATCTGAAGTGGAATCCTGGCTCCTCATGCAGCAACAATGGACAGATTCTTAGCATTCATTTATAAAATATCAGCAATAGTGATTTCTAACCTTGTCAGGTTGTGATGAGGTTCACAAGAGTGCACATAATAAAAATACTTTGCAAACTGTGAAGTTTGGAAAATCACAATAACCTTGTTTCTAGTGATGCATTCTCACTTCCAAGTCACTATCAAAAGTACCACCAAAAACTGTGCATACGGATTGAAGGCTGAGGGTTCCCTTCAATTTTAGCTTATTTTGCCTTTTTGTCTAT
This sequence comes from Homo sapiens, assembly GCF_000001405.40. NCBI lineage: Eukaryota > Metazoa > Chordata > Mammalia > Primates > Hominidae > Homo > Homo sapiens. The sequence continues at coordinate 167,395,775 of NC_000003.12, forward strand.
GCATATCATAAATTGCAAATTTGGAAGAGCTATTGCAAGAATAGGGAATTAAGAGAGAAAGCCATGTAGCCTACTTTGGTTTGAGGAATTGGCTTACCTGGCATATAAGGAAACTTCTGCATGACATATATGGAACCTTCTCCCTCTAGCTTCCTGGAGTCTACTTTAAGGCTTGGGTACAAACCTCAGTGAAAGTATTTCTGTGTTTTATTTTGCCTCCATTGTACCTTACTCAAAAATCACTTGAGGAAGAAGACAGTTGTCATGGCATGATTGCGGAATTCATTGTTTTCCTGGCAAAATTTCTCCTTACTAGTGCTCAATCTAATCCATGCAAAAATACAGTTCCTGAATAGATCTAAGTTATGCTGACTGTATGTTTGTTTGCCCTCATAACCATCTTTAGTCTTTATCTGCCCTACAGTCTTGCAGTGGAGCTGACTGTTGCAGGATACATTTCCCTGGCTCTGTGTCAGCTACTCCTACCTGGGTTCTGTTGTTGAATGTATAAATGAATGACAATGGAAATCTCTTTGCATAGTTGTAAGCCTGAGTGATTGAGAGAATCAGGATTTCTATGCTGTGCAACTCCTAGGGGCGACATTGACCTTGAAGCACACTTCAGTGGCACATAGGATGGCACAGAATGTAGCTCCTGTAGCCATGTGTAGCAACAAGACATGAGGCAGAAGTCTGCCGGCATTAGATTGAGCACTAGCAGGGAGAAATTAGCAGTAAAAATGGTATTTTCTTTACCCAGATTGGGCTTATTTTTAAGTAGCACCACTTCATTTTGTATTGCTTTGTTTTGTTGAAACTAAGCACAAATGCTTTGGCATGTGAAAAACGTTTATGGTTTATGAATGAGAGTATGTAACTGATTAAGTAAAAATAAACTTCTAAAATAGACTTGATGATAATGACACCCTAATGTCTTTAAAGTTTTGTTAATGAACATTTGAATTGAACAAAGTTACTTTAGAAATTTTTCTTGCCCTTTTCTTCCTGAGAGCAAAAATATGAGGAAGACAGAGATAGGGAAAAATTACTTCAGGAATATTTTATTTAAGTCCTGTGAAAAGCAGAGACCATTTGTGTCTCCTTTAAAAAATGCTGCTATGTTTTTCCTTTTCACAGGTCTTATGTTAAATAAAATATTGCCACAATGTCATATCTGGTTATTGTTATTGGAAAAGACCAGGGAGTAATGCCCAATGCTCTTGTCTGACATGGAAAGGATGGCATTGCTCATTTTTTTCCCTTTTTTAAATTGAAACCTTGAGTATTTAATTTATAAACATAAAGCATTCAACTACTCACCTTAAGAATTGCTAAGATATTAGTCGTGAAGAAGAGGTTCTTGGTGGTAAAAAAAAAAAAAAAAAAAAAAAATCTGACTCCTTTCTACAAAATGCTTTCTCCTACATCTCATTTGTCTTCGCTGACTGCATTTTCTTTGCATTTTTCTGGGTTTTTCTTACAGCCATCAATTGACTTGCTACGTTTTGTTTGAATGAAGAACCCCACCCTGAGTTTGTCAATGTTCACAAGTCACCTCACATACACTGTATGGATGGCCCATGAAATTCTTTTAAAAATAAATAAAATTTTATTTCTATCCCATTCCAACATATGCACATGCACAAAAACACACTTTTTTCTTTTTCATGTCATGAAAAAAATTATCAGAATGGATTATTCCCTTACTTTATCTTCTTCGAAAGATTGCCTGGTCTCATATATTAATATTTCATTCCCAAATGTAACATGTCAAAGTAGAGAGTTGTGTTGACCAGCAAGAAGTCAGAGGGTAAGAAATTTTTCTGCTTCCAGGAAAACTATTGTTAGCACAGTAGTCAATAAATAAGAGAGAAAGGCAGGAGAGAGCCTTTTATGCTGAGAGAAATGCAGATGATGACAAAACTTATAAGGCTAAGAAAAAACAAATCATCTTTAGAAGAACTTTCACTTGAAATGGCTTTGCCTTTCAAAAGGAAAAATGTCCTGCTGAATCAGCTTCATTTGGAGAAATAAAAAAAAAAACTCATATGATTTTCAAAATACTAAACAAACTCACTTGCAAAAAAAAAAAAATTAGGTTACATTTGTTTGCTTGTAAAAATAAGTTTAAGCTCAGCAAATTGCAAATTAAGGAGACAACAATCAAGCAGAGAGGATAGGGGTAAAGAAACAAAGCATGTTTGGGCTGGCAGCATCCTAACATCTAAAAGAAAAATGCACACAGTTGGTAGTGTGCCCATTTTGTTCTGGCACTTTGTTTCATGAATGTGCTACAAGATGAGAAAAAAAAATGAACGAGCTTCAATTCTTGTTCAGTCATAGAGCTGTTCAGTCAAGCAAGATTACAGATAATGAATCTCTACAATGGAAAACTGATTTGTGGGCTCTCAAATTTTTCATTTTGTTTATGTTTCAGAAATGTGTAGCTGTGTCAGAACGTCTTACCCATTTTTAAGAATATTTTATCACAGCAAAAAAAGATAACTTGACTTTAACTGTGAAATGCAAATTCATTTTATCTTGAAGTGTCAGATATAGTATTGTTCAGTCTACAACAAATATAAAAAGGCATAAGATTCTTTAAAGGGCCCAATAACATTGTCAATAATATGCTTTTATTATGGAAAATAAAATATCTTCACTGCTTCAGAAAATTATTCAGTCTGGATTTTTATGAACTTTAGAATTATAGGCCTTAAATTATGATATGTATGTCCTATTAGCTAGAAAATATTTTCTATACCTAGTGAATTTTATTATGTAATATATATAAACCTACTGTATAAATATTTAATGAACATTTATTATCACTAACTGGTTGGATTTATTACCTAAAGAATTATGATAGCACGTGAAAAAAATTCTTAGATATCTGATATTTGCAACCTCTTAGCAGAATTTTAGGACATGTGTTATACCAGAAGTAAATTGTTCTTAAGTAGTCAGGGCATTATCACAAGATGTTATGATTTGAATATTTGTCCCCTCCAAAACTCATGTTAAATATTAATCCCCTATGTGACAGTATTGAGGGATGGGGCCAGATTTTTAAGAAGTGATTGGGTTATTAAGGTTCTGCCCTCATGAATGGGTTAATCTATTCATGGATTAATAGATTAATGAAATACTGGATTAATGGGTTATCATGAGAGTGGAACTGGTGGCTTTATAAGAAGAGTAAGAAAGAACTGAGCTAACAATTAGCGTGCTCAGCCCCCTCACCATGTGATGCCCTATGCTACCTTGAGACTCTTCGGAGTCCCCACCACCAAGAAGGCTCTCACCGGATGCAGACACTGGACCTTAAACTTCTCAGCCTCTATTTAGTAAGAAAAAAAAAATTCTCACTTACTCACTCATGCACTCACTCATTCATTCACTAAACATTTTGTAAATACTTTGTAGCAATAAATTTCTAATACCACACAATAACAACTCCCATTTATAGAGTACCAATTGTATGTCAGGGATTGTACCTTTGCAGTTTCAGAAAATTTAATAAACTTGCTAAAGTTTTCAGAACTACTAAGTACAAGCCCAGTCCATTTAAATCCCAGTATATCTACAACTGAAACTAATGGTCTTTCAACCACTCTAAGCTGCTTCCCTTCTACTATTGTCTACTCTTGTCAGTAGCTTGCACTCTGGTGCTAGAGGTAGGGAACATAATTAAAATTAACATATACTGTTATGTGGTAGGTACTCTGAAAGAGCATCAAGAAAATCTGACTGAAAAAAGATTGACTGAGATGGGCGCTGGAGTATAAGCCAGAGTTTCACAGGTAAAGGAAGGATGGGAATTTTATGCCATAGGGGGAGACCTTAGCATGTGCAAGGTCATGGAGGTAAGAGAAAATATGGTATACTCAACAAGATTATTATGTATTCATAGTGACACAGAATTTACACCATTTTTTTAACTTTTATTTTAGCCTCATGGATACACATGCTTGTTTGTTACAAGGGTATATTGCATGATGCTGAGGCTTGAGGTATGATTAAACCTATCACCCAGGTAGTGAACATATTACCCAATAGGTAGTTTTTCTAGCCCTATTCCCCCTCCCTCCCTTTCTCCTCTAGTAGTCCTCAGCATCTACTGTTCCTGTGTGTCCATGTGTACTCAGTGTTGAGTTCTCACCTATAACTGTGAATATTCAGTATTTGGTTTTCTGTTTCTGCATTAATTCATTTAGGATAACTCTCTCCAGCTACAACCATGTTGCTGCAGAGGAAATGATTTCATTCTTTATGGCCGCATAGTATTCCGTAGTGTATATGTACTACATTTTCTTTATTCAATCCACCATTGATGGAACCCTAAGTTGATTCCGTGTCTTTTTTATTGTGAATAATGCTGCAGTGAACATACACGTGCATGTGTCTTTTTGGTAAAATGATTTGTTTTCCTTTGGGTATATACCCAGTAGTGGGATTTCTGGGTTAAATAGTAGTTATCTTTGTAGTTTTTTTAGAAATCTCCAAACTGCTTTCTAGAGTGGCTAAACTAATTTACATTTCCACCAACAGTATATAAGCATTCCCTTTTCTCCGCAGCCTCACCAACATCTGTAATTTTTTGACTTTTTAATAATAGGCATTCTTACTTATGTGAGATGATATCTTATTGTGGTTTTGATTTACATTTCGCTGATGACTGGTGATGATAAGCATTTTTTCATATGCTGGTTGGCCACTTGTATGTCTTGAATTGTCTGTTCATGTCCTTTGCTCACTTTTTAATGGAGTTATTTGATTTTTCTTGTTGATTTCTTGCTGTTTAAATTCCTTATAGTACCGTGAACTCCAAATATATAAGACAGGTATCAGTTAATTTAGAAAGTTTATTTTGCCAAGGTTGAGGGCCCGTACCCGTGACACAGCCTCAGGAGGTCCTGACGACACATGCACCAGAGCACAGCTTGGTTTTATACATTTCAGAGAGACATGAGACATCAGTCAACATATGTAAGATGAACATTGATTGGTCCAGAAAAGCGGGCCAACTCCAAGCAGGGAAGGGGCTTCCAGGTATAGGTAGGTAAGAGACAAATGGTTGCATTTTTTTGAGTTTCTGATTAGCCTCTCCAAAGAAGGCAATAACATATGCATTTATAAGTGAGCAGAGGGGTGACTTCGAATAGAATGGGAGGGAGGTTTGCCCTAAGCAGTTCCCAGCTTGACTTTTCCCTTTAGCTTAGTGATTTTGGGATCCCCAAGATTTATTTTCATTTCACAACACAATCTACCACTATTTATTGACACTAAATGGATGAATAAAATGTGGTCCTTGGACTCAAATATTGTATTGTCTTTTAGAAAATAAATCCAATAAACAACTAGTTATTTTAAACTAATATAGATAATAATCTAAGATTGTATATCAGGGCCACAACAGAAGAATTAGTTTCAAATGAGAATTTTAATAAAAAACTTCTAAGAAGTAACATTTGAAATGAGTATCAAAAAACGTTTAAAAGTTCACTAGGCACTTTCTGCTTCCAATTAGGACACAAAAGACCTTAGCTCTTATTGTTGCAGGAAAGGGGTGCAGACCCAGACCTCAAGAAAGGGCTCTTGGATCTCGTGTAAGAAGGAATTCAGGGCGAGTCCATAGAGTAAAGTGAAAGCAAGTTCATTAGGTAAGTAAAGGAACAAAAAATGGCTACCCTATAGACAGCAGCCCGGAAGGCTGCTGGTTGCTTATTTTTATGGCCATTTCTTGATTATATGCTAAACAAGGGGTGAATTATTTATGCCTCCCCTTTTTAGACCATATAGGGTAACTTCCTGATGTTGCCATGTCATCTGTAAACTGTCATGGCACTGGTGGGAGTGTAGCAGTGAGGACAACCAGAGGTCACTCATCACCATCTTGGTTTTGGTTGGTTTTAGTTGGCTTCTTTGAAGTAAACTGTTTTATCAGCAAGGTCTTTATGACCTGTATCTTCTGCCAACCTCCTATACTTAGAATGCCTTAACTGTCTGGGAATGCAGCCCCATGGGTCGCAGCCTCATTTTACCCAGCTCCTGTTCTAGACGGAGTTGCTCTGGTTCACACACCTCTGACATTATGAGAATGTCAAAAGATAAAATAAAAATCATATTTCCATATGGGACTGTCAATGAACCATGAAAGGCTTGATGAACTGATTTCCAGAGAAAGGTGCCCATTATAAGTAAGCAGTGAGATCTGGCAGGTCTGGATGCAGGACGAGCAGAAGAATGGTCAAGACCCAGGACTTTACTGGGTGGAAATGAAGCCATCTGAGCTATTGGCAACAGTGGAGATCGTGGGCTACATTACGGTCTGAAAGACTACCAAGCACAGTAATAGTTTGCTCAACGCAGTCATTCTCTCCACCTTATCCCAAGTTTGCTGAAAACAATGAAATTGAAGTAAGAACTGATAAGCAGACAGAAATCATTCAATCTGCTGCATCTCCCATATTCTCCCCATACCTGAAATTTAAAAATTCAAAGATATTGCAAGGAATCCCAAATAAAATCCTGATAAGCTCCATGAGACTAGCCCTTCCTTGGAAAACTGAATGTTGGCGATTGGGTTAACAAGAGGGAAGCTTCATCTCAGTCCCAGATAAATAAACCCTTGGTGAAATCTGAACAATCAACTCCCACTTTAGCCAACAGATGAAAAAATAACTTGAAATTTCTTGGCAAAAAGAAAATAAAAACCCAGTGTTAATCCTCTAACCCTATTTTTCTTCTATACTTAATTTCTACTATGCAATAACAAATTACGAGACCTACGTAGAGGCAGAAATAGGACTCACGCGCAAGGGAAAAAAATCACCAAAAGCAAACCACAGATGATCCAGATACTGGAATTAGCAGAAAATAATTTAAAAGATCTATCTTCAATAGGAAAATATGAGAATAGGTGGATAGGTGGGTAATCTCAGCAGAGAATAAAATAAAATAAGTAAGAAAAATTAGTTAAAAATTATATATCTGTAAACTACAATATGTAAAAAAAAAAAATAGATGAACTATACAGAAAAATCACAAAATAATCAAATGGTTAGTGACCTTGAAGACAGGTCAGGAGAACTTATCCAAAGTAAAGCATAGAAAAAAAGGCATAAACAAACTGTTAAATACATAACAAACTGTTAAAGACATAACAAACTGTTAAATCAAGCAGTCAAATATACCTGTAATTGGAAGAACAGAAGGATAGGAGAGGGAATAAGTCAGAGTACAAAAGATCTTGGAGAAACAATGACTGAAAAGTTTCCTTATATGTTTGAAAATACATACATCTACAAATCCAGGAAGGTCGCTGAATCTCCAATGGAGTAAATTTATGCAAAATGCACATAAGCATATAATTGTCAAACTGAAATCCAAAGGGAAAGAAAAAATTCTAACGGGTACCACAGTAAAGAATGCATCATGTAAGAGGGAGTAACAATCTCATTAACCCAACGCATTGACATTTTAAAGTGCTAAAAGAAAACAACTAAAAAACGATTATCAACTTAGAATCCTACATCCAGCAAAAATCGCCTTCAAAACTAAAGGTAAAATACATACTTTTTCAGATAAATGAATAAATAATAAATCAAAGCTGAGAGAATTTGTTGCCATCATATCTGCACTATAAGAAATGTCAAAACTTCTTCAATCTGAAGAGAAATGATACCAGTAGGAAATTCAGATCTGCAAAAATAATTGAAGAATGCCAAAAATGGTAAATAACAAGGTGAATATGCAAGCATTTTTTCTCCTAATTTGTTTGAAAGACACTTCACTATTTAAAATGAAACATTTATATTGTGAGGTTAATAATATATGAAAAAGTAAAATGCTTAAGAGCATTAAAAAACATGAAATGGGAATAAATAGAATTATAATTTGATGAGTGTCCTCTATGATATGTGAGGTGGAGTATATTAATTCAGTATAGAATATGGTAGGTTAAATGTGCATACTTTAGTCCCTAAAGCAAAGCAACTACTTAAAAATAAAATGAAGAAGTATAATAAAAATCTAACAGGTTATATAAAATAGAATGCTAACTTAATACTACTTTAAACTAATACTAGATTAAAAGGAGGCAGGAAAGTAAGATCAAGGAAACAAAAGAAGAACAAAAAATTAAAAATATAAATAAGATGTTAAACTTCAAGTAAATCATATCAATAATTGCATTAAATGTAAAATGACTACACATTCTGAAGAAAAAGCAATATTGTCAGAGGCGAAAAAAGTCAGCATACTAACAGTATACTGTACACCCTCTACAGAAATTGCATTTTAAACGCAACATGGATAGGTTGAAAGCAAACTCCTAATCATAAGAGACCTGGTTCGGCTATATGAATAGCCAACAAAGTAAACTTCAAAACAAGTAGTACCAAAGATAAAGAGATATTTCATAATGATAAATGGAATTCGTTAAAAAAATACATAATATTTCTAAGTGTGCATGCTACTTATAATAGAGCTTAAAAGTAAGCAAAGCAAAACTTTACAGAAACAAAAAAATAAGCGAATCTACAGAAGACATTAACATTTCTGCAAGTAGAAATAGACAAATTCATAGTTATAGTAGGAAATTGTATTACGAATAACCAGGGGTTTGCTCTAGGTCCCATTGCTCGCCACACAGAAAACCAATCACTGAGACAATGAGTATTGTCAGAGAAGAAGATTTTATTTGGGTGATGTCAGCTGGAGAGGTGGGAGGCAAACCCTAAATCCACTCTTCACTCTCCCACTCTCCCCCTTTCTCCACGCCCATTCAAGGGTTTATATAGCTGGGAAGGACAACAGAAGGGACAAGGAAAAGAAGTTGGTCAACAGACAGCAGGTGCATTTCATTATACAAATGTAAGTTTCTCAAGCTTCAGTTCTATAGACACCTGGCTTGTTGGAAAATTGGACTGACTTCAATTTCAGCATTCCTCTGTCAATAATTAATAGAACAATCATTTAACATGGAAATAATATGACCAGATTTGCTTTTTTTCCCCTCTGGTGGCATTGTCAAAAAGATATTGAAGAATGGAGAGACAGAGAAAAGGTTTACAAATTAGCAGCCATAACAATAATCTAGTGAAACAAGATGATGGCCTTAATTAATGCAGAAACTGGTCGGGGGGAGTAGAATGAAGCTAATAAACTGGAGATATATTTGGTGTTTGAAAATAATAGAAACTGGTCACTTAGATGTCTGATACAAGGGAGAGGTGGCAATAGGAAGACATCTAAAATTTTTAAGGGTTCTTGCTAGGAGACTGCATGGATGCTTTTTATTAAAAACATTGTGAAGAAGAAGAAGCACATCTGAGAGGAAAGGCAATGAGCTCTCTTTTGGACACTTTTGAAATGTCTGTGAGACATTGTTAAAAATGTCTACAGGGCAATTCAATATGTGAGTATGACATCAGGAAAGAGGTCAGGTTAGAGATAATTGCAGTGGTTGTAGTCACTGAAATGGTAGGAATACTCCAGTGAGGATAGAAAGAAGACCAAATGCAGAACCCTTGACCTCTGACATAAACAGTGCAGACAGCAGAAGAAGAAACTGCAATGAAGAAAAGAAGAAAAGGATGAGATAACGAGACAGGAACCAGAAAAAGTGTGTCATAAAAACCAAAGAGAGATAGGAATTTAAGAAGATAATGTCGAAGCGAGATAAGTGGTACAGAAAAGGTGAAGACTTAAGCAGTCATTACATTTGGTGAACAAAAAGTTACTCCTGACTCCAGTAATTTTCATGAAGAAGTGTGATAGGAACATGGCTGCATTAAATTGAAAACAATAAAAATATGAAGGTGAAGAAAAACTTAGTATAGGTTATTCTTTCAGGGAGCTTGATATTTAAGCTAAATAGGAACTCTTAACCTGAAATTAGTAATTGAAGAAGGTATTCCTGGTAAGCTGGTACCACCAATAATTTAAAAGCCTATTGCTTGAGTTGTAAGAAAGAAGCAATAGGTACTCTCTTCAGCTTAAGAAACCAACAGGCCGAGCGTGGTGGCTGACGCCTGTAATCCCAGCACTTTGTGAGGCTGAGGGGTGGATCACTTGAGGTCAGGAGTTCAAGGCCAGCCTGGCCAACATGGTGAAACCCCGTCTCTACTAAAAATACAAAACCCTGGGGTGGTGGCAGGTGCCTGTAATCCCAGCTACTTGGGAGGCTAAGGCAGGAGAATCACTTGAACCCGGGGGGCAGAGGTTGCAGTGAGCCGATAGTGCCATTGCTCTCCAGCCTGGGTTGCAAGGGCAAGACTCAGTCTAAAAAAAAAATTAATAAATTCTTCCCAAATAGATTATTGTAGTTTCTTTCATTATTGTAGTTTGGCTGATTTTCAACCTAAGCTACATCTTCAGAGACAATAGTCTTCAATAACATTTTTTATAAGCAGTACTGTCTGTGTGAATGGTATAGGTAAAACGTAAATCTATAAAGAAGAATGTGATAAACATTTAAAGGCAATTTGGACAAAAGCCTACTTATATTTTTCACCACAAACAGTGGTAAGGTTTGGCACAGCGTTCTTAGTAATTTATATAATTGGAGACACTCCCCAGGGAACTTATGAGATTAAACGGTGTATGGAAAAAATGTAAATGGTAGAGAAATCTAAATCACAGTCTTGTAAGATATTTCCAGCTGGGTACAGTGGCTCATCCCTGTGATCCCAACACTTTGGGAGGCCAAGGCAGGTGGATCACCTGAGCCTGAGTTCAAGACCAGCCTTGGCAACATGGCAAAACCCCATCTCTACCCAAATTACAAAAGAATTAGCCAGTCACAAAATCCAGTATCAAATAAATAAATAGATAAAAGTTAAAAATAAAATAAATTTTAAAAACATTTTCTCCTTAGAATAATTCCCTGTTTGAACACCATGGACGTAGCTAGGAAAGTAGTTTACAATTCAAATTTGATCGCAAATGAGTAAGCCCTTTCAGTTCTCTACCATGATCTCCAGAAATGTAGGTGAAGGGATTGGAAAGGATCAGGGAAGTTGCAAACAAAGAGCCAAATCCTAATTCTATTCTTGAAAATGGGGGAAGAAATGGAAATAGGGCAAATTGGGAAAATCTTTTAATTTGTATGTAGGATTTGGCATTTGAAAAAATAATCTAACTTGAAAGATCAGTTTTATCCAAGTAGTTCCTGAATAGCCTGACTGCCTCCTGACATAAGAACCAGGAGAACAGTCTGTTGTTTGGGAAGACTGACTCACCACTGTGAAAGCCACTCTCAGCCCTTGTTTTTCAAGTGGTCACAGAGTTAATGCTTGCCCAGTCTGCTGGGTGGCGCCAGATCATCATATAACTAAAGAATCCAGGCTGCATCCAGCATTTCAAAAACCTCAAATGAATAAGTATAAATATGTGCTTATCACCCTCACTATGCATTTTAAATTTATCTAACAAAATCCAAATAAGGATGTGAAAAATTAAACAGCATAAAATATCTCAAGTGTAAATACATTAACTTTAAATGATTTTTTGATATTAATGCTAAAATATTTTATAGGTAGAAATGTCCAATGCTAATGTCCATACCTCTATGCCTTTTCCAGTTGGAGAAACAAAAATAGGTACAATACTGTTTGCAAAAACTGAATATGTAAGTACAGTTGGCCCTTGAACAATGTGGGGATTAGGGCTGCCAATCCCTCGCACAGTCAAAAATTTTCGTATAATTTTTGACTCCCCCAAAACTTAAGTACTAATAGCCTACTGTTGAATGGAAGCATTACCAATAACAAAATGTCAATTAACACGTTTTTTATTAATACAAAATACAGTATACACTGTATTCTTACCCACAAAAAAGTTAGGGAAAAGGAAATGTTATTAAGAAAATCATGAGGAAGAAAAAATATGTTTATTATTCATCAAGTAAAGTAGGTAATTATAAGGGTCTTCATTTTTGTCTTTACCTTGAGTAGGCTGAGGAGGAAGAGGAAGAGGAGGGGTTGGTCTTGCTGATTCAGGGGTGGCAGAGGTGAAAGCAAATCTCACGCAGTCGACTCTGTGTTGCTCGAGGGTCAATTGTATTCTAATTACTGATGCGCTCACAGACAGCTCTGAGATGATTTTGACTTTGTTATATCACCAGCTCAGTATAATATCTCCACCGTGTTCCAAGATGATTCCTCATTGTGCCTTCGAGTTTATCTTTAGCTACCAAATTCTTCTCCAAGTTTATTTTAGATGACTACTGTTTCCATTCTGCACCCAACTCACAATCAGGCCCAATTATCCTGCAGAGTGCCTACCGACTCTCACCCTTTTAAGAATATTCCGTTGTGTGTCTCATAACCTTGAAATTTTACTAGAACAATAGCTAATTTATTAAATGGACTATGCAGAAAATGCTGAAGTTTTGAGTGATTCTATAGTGGACACTGCTAGTTGGTTTTCTATCAAAATCCATACTGCTATTGTTTCAGAATACTAGAGTTCAAACAAGGTATGGGGCCGCCCAGCTGGAGACTCCATTTTCCAGACTCCTTTGCAGCTGTCTCTGGAATGTGACCTAGTTATCACCAAGGGAATATGAATGGAAATGATAAGCGCAATTTCTGCTTCATCGGTTTAAAAGCAAATTGCTTGCCCTCAACATCTGTTCTTTTCCCCTGCTGTAAGCCAGAACATGCACATGCTTGCAATTCAACTTTTGATCATGCAGATGAAAACATTTGCTAAGAAATTAAAGATCTTTTAAAACGACCATATTTGCGATCTACTTTTTTCTTAAATGGCAGCTTAACCTTTACCTAACTAATACAGATTTTAATAGACCAGTGAGTTTCACCTCCCACGTTTGCATTTTTAACACAGGCAGCATGGAGGCCTAGTTACTTAATGACAAGGAGCTCCTCCACTATGAGAATTCTCCACACCATAGCAAGCCAGTCATGTCTGCCACTTTCATCGCTCTAATGACTTGGAAGGCCAACACTGTGTCTTTCTGGCAGTAGCATTTAGCACAGGTTTTAGTACAATGGTAGATGCAGAATAGATGTTTAAAAATATCAGGAATAGAAAAGGTTTGCAAGCTCTGAAATCAGGTCACAGAAGTAGCCACCTAACCTGCTTACACAGAGGGTGAGCCCCGGAAACATTAAGCTTTATGAGCACTAATGTTGCTGTGTAGCAAGATATAATATCAAGCTTGAAAGCAGACCACGTGGATAATGCTTAAACTTGGCTTCGACATTTTGGCCTGCCGGAAAATATGGCAGTTCATTAAAAGATCAGTAGTGAGTAATACTGACTTTGCTAACTTTATTGACATCTGAACTGTGCCTTAATATTGAGTGTGATAATATTGCAGAATGGTGAGATATCTCAAGGTTTAATTAAAAAAAAAAAGACTATGGAATTAATTTACCAGATGAGGGATAATAAGAAATTTGAATCTGTAGTATTTATGTTGCTGCTTGAATGCTGGGCAATAGCAAACCTAGCTCTCCCTGTGGCATCATCTCAGATTGTGTTTGTGTAAGTTAGGATGCATCTGGGTTGACACTGACTTCACTGAAGCATTATTTTGTAAAGGGCACTGCTTGAGAGCAGTTCTTGGCCTGCTCTATGCATAAGAATCTTAACTGTAGTTGTATGTTTGTCTGCCAAGTGTAGCTACCCATGTAGAAGAAGGAACTCAACCTATAGCTTTTTTAACCAAATAAATACCCAAGAAATACAAATAACACCTCAGTGACAATATTTAATGCCTCTTCACTAAGAAATCATAGTCAAGTGTAGACAGAGGAAATGTCTATCAGGAACCAGGGAGGTCTCAGACAAGAAATCCTAGGATAGTTGGGTTTTATCTCCTGTTCTCTAAGTCTTAAAGTGAACCTTTTCTCCTCCATGCTTGTTTGGCAGTCATCTCTTTAGATTTGCCTCCCCTTGCTTTTGAAGGTTGAATATAAAGGGATAAAATGTAGGTCTGGGCTTGAGAGAGACATAAACAAGCTGCTCTGCTTGATTTCGTTCCAGTTTAGGCTGTCCTATCACAGGCTGGAAAATGTTTCTATCTCTTTCTATCCAGCTCACCCTATGACACAAATACTTTAGAGTCAGGGCAAAAGTTGTATATTAATAAAGCATTTGAACTTTCCTGGAAACTCTTAAGAATCTGGGTGTGCTGGCCATTTGTGGATTACTGGGCAAGAGTACAAATGGAGGCCCACATATCATATATCTAAGTATTTGAAAGTTATAAATCAAGCCAAAAATTTAAAAGAAATATGTCTATTCTTCTACTTCAATAAATAAATCTTTATAATACTTGGAAGGCCAAGTTTGAATTTAGAATTCTTGTATTTATTGGGTTTCTGAAAAAAAAAAAGTATCATAATAAGAACCAATTCTTAATCCTCAGTAAGGAGTAACTTACCTCCCTTGTCTTCCATCCCTACCTCCATCCCACACAGGAAAAGGCCTGGTTGCATGCCCACCCCAAACTGCAAGTCCAAGTTCTATCTCTGCCACTGTAAACATTAGTCCTTTGGCTATTTCTTTAATCTTGGGATGGGTCCTTTCATAGGACAGTATTTCCTAAAGAGGATGCCCTCTAGGAAATGCCCTACATAAACCTCGGAAGTTGGTTTGGTGCTGTTTGGGAAGCAAATTTTAGTGTTCCAGGTATCCAAAGAATGGTTAAAGAGAGAGAGTCCCAAATTCTGAATAGACACAATTCCCTTGACTTTGCAGACTTTTAACTCTTCAGAGAGAAGACATGGCTGGAGGAGGACCTGCAGAGGTTTATAATATGGAACACAGACTCACTTGCTTTGGTCTGAGGGAGACACTGAATCCAGAGCAGCAGTAGGCAGCCAAGAGAAGATTTAAGAGATGTGAGTTCTTGTCCTATTTTCTATTACCACCACCTGATGTCAACATTTGAAATGGTATTCTTTTGGGAACACCACTTGTTAGCTGTGTTATACAATGGTATGGAGGTTTTTCCCATCAGATCAAGTCCCTAGATCTGTGAAAGACCAGAAAGATATGATTTCTGTGCACAGCTATGATAAGCATTGAGAATGGGGATTTTCAATGAATTTTTTATAAAAAGAACTATCACTGCAGCATATGTCATATTGCCCTAGTTACTAAGTTAGTCTGATTAAGATCAACTTTCCAGTTTCAAAAGTGGAGCTATAGAAATGATTATTCCCCTTTAAATAAGTGAGTATTCACATAGAGACACGTATGCACAGATGTTGGCAAGACACAGGCAAGTTTTAATGCCACTTCCAATTTCTCCCATTAACTATAAGGACAAAAGACATGGTGCATGACCAAAAAAGAACAATTACATTTTCTCAGCATTTTCTAATCAGGATTGAAGGGGAGCAGACTGCATTTCCAAGAAAATAGGCCCATCTTTTGGCTGTTCCAGGAAAGTCCTGTTGTTGCATGTGAGAACTGGTGGTGTATGTCTCATGAACTCAGGCTGTCGGGGAGGGATAGCATTTAGGCCTTCCATTGTATGGATGCAGTTGGATATGGTTGTAACATACCGGTAGTGAACAGGTCTTCAAGGAACACTCCAGACACAGTACTTCAAAATTAATCTCAATGCTAAGCCAACTGTGAGATTCCATTACAGAACTATGCATATCCACAGTTATTTTCTCAGGTCATATCAGCTCCCATTTATATATAGGTTAATTTAGGTGAGTCTATTGCCCAAAGAAATACAGTTCATTACAATGTAGCAATTGCTTCAGAGCCCAAGCTTCATAAAGAGAATTGTCCCAGGGTACTTCTATCAAGACAGTTACCTAGAGTTATATGTAAAGAGAGTGTTTACACCAATCACTAAAGCTGTGGTGATTACGTACTAAAATTAGATTGGCTGAGACATTGAGTAGGGTAACTAAATTATCTAGAGATAAGTAGAAATTTGTTGGGTATACTTACATATCTTTTATTGCTACTGAGATGCAATGTTTGTCTAGCTCACAAGTCACTTCTTTGAGAGCTAACACAGTCCTTCATGAGCTTCAGTGCCCAAACACTTCTAGGCAATAACTACCTTGATCAAGGTTGGACATATACCCTAAACTGGGCCAGTCCGACTATTCTAACCATTTGGAGTCAGAATTTAATGATGCTAGCCAACTTCTGCTGGTGGCTTGCCTTGTAAACATGAGGACTTACATGGGTCATATTCAGCCATACGCATGGAGTAGCAAAATAGGCAATCTACAGAAGCAAATGAATTTATCAGGATCCCAGAGAGAAACCAAGATGTTTTTTAAAATATAGTTTTCCAAAAAGAAGGACAATAACTTAATAACCTTCTGAGGACTTGATGTTGGTCACCTCCAGGTTCTGATCCCTCCTGAAGCTTGGTTGTACTTTCTCCCTTGGTAATCAAACACCCCTGTATCCTCAAATAAATTTTTCTTTCTTGTTTAGATGTGAGTGAGTTTCTGTAACCAAAAAGCCTTCACTAAACATTACTTGAACTTCTTATTTACTCTAAAGATTTTTGTAAACACTGGGAAAATGAAATATGTCTTGCTCTTCTCTTAATTTATGTTCTCTAAAAACAATTTCTATGATTGTATATTCCCTAAAGAAATTTTTTTTTCAAATTTGCATTGATTCTCTTTGGACCTTCCTATGGCTATATTCTGCTTTCACCCATCTGTCTGTAGTCATATGAAGAATTTTATAGTTATTCTGCCTTCTTTTATGGTGTGAGGAAAAAAAAGGGTTTTGATGCTGTAGTATCTGATATAGTTATCCGCATTGCACAGATATCTTCTGTGATGTGCCTGTTTCAGTGTCATACACTCCCAGTTTCGCAGAAGCATGCTTCCACTTTTCCCCCCAGTTACTCATTAAGATTATTCTTTTAATGCTTAACTATTTAATGTCAATGTGGCAGATATATATGTATATGTATGTGTGTGTGTGTGTGTGTGTGTACATATATATATATATAAAATCAGGGTTTCACCAACTTTTTGGTATCAGGATACCTTTCCACACTTAAAAATTACTGGGCATGCCAATGAGTTAAATATTTGTCATATTAGATAATAAAACTGAGCAATTAATATTTATATTAATCCATTTCAAAATAACTAATAAATTCAATGTATGTTAACATAAGTAATATATTTTTAAACTGTGTTTTTCAAATAAAAAATCATGAAGAGTAGCATTTCTTAATATTTTTCATATCTCTTTAATGTCATGTGTAGTAGAAAATAGCTATGGAGTCCTATCTGTCTCTGCATTCAGTCTGCTGTAATTTTACACATCTTGTAGCCCATGGAAACTGCACTGCACACTCATGAAAGACTGAAGGTGAAATAGGCAAAAAATTTTTAATAATATTATGTAAATAGTTTGACCTCAGAGAGTCTCAGGCACCCCCTACAAATCTTCAAGCTATACTTCAACAAGTGCTGTACATTATACAATCACAACTTTAACCTAACAATTGAAAAGTAAAAAAGTATTTTTACCAAAAGAAAATATTTTTTGTTGGGACATTTAACTGAACTGACCAAATTTAGATATTTTGGGCATCCTATGCCAAAAAAAAATTTGAAGAGGAAATCACATTCCTATTTTTAAGATTGCTAGTGTATAAAACACTGTGGTGAAATTTAAATTGAATCTGAAAGTACCTATGAACCATGCAGTAGACTGGTTTAATTTTTCATCATACTGTATATCACTATATGTCTACCATATATCTACTTATAGTGTAGACATACTTAATAAATTAACAACTGACTTTACTTAAATGCCTTATGTTACTAACATTACATTTTCCTTTGAATGCCCACATATACAATTGGACTATTCTAGCATTTTTCAATTTTAATATTTTTTATCCTAACTTACTGGTCTAATAAAATCTAGTCAAAATCAAATTACAGAATCCTGCATATCTATAAAAGAAAAAGAAGGTATGCCATAATTTGGTATGTTTGAGATAGCTCAAATACTCCAACTTACAAATTATCTTTCTTCAATAATCTCTAGATGGTTTGATCAAGTAAAAATTTCTTTTTATAATCTCTTGAAAATGCACCAGAGTAGCACTCATTTAATCATATTCTATCTGTTCTTAGATTATTAGTTCCATGTCAAATTCAGTATTTCCCATGATATTTAAAGTTATCTCCTTGTTCTTTTCTCTACGATGGTCATTCACAAAGTTCTAAGGTAATGTTAAAGGTAGGAAAAGCAACTCAAGAAAGAGTTTGCCTGAATTGCACAGGGTGCTGGGAGAGAATATGTAGCTACTTTTTCCTGGTTGGAGTCTAGATTTTTGCTGTTTTCCATCAAGGAATGATGCTAATGTGAAGACATAATGAAAAAAAAATGTGTATGTAAAACTAAGTAAGTGACTATTTTTACTGACTTTAATAATCAGTGGGAAAAGAAATTGATCAGTAGTTCCCAGAAGTTGTCTCAGGACTTTACCCTTTTACATACAAATCATTTCCTTTCATTTCATGTTATCATTTTTTGTATATAGGTGACTTTTTTATCTTTGGCTTTGAAAAGATCAAGTTGATCCGGAAGTAATTTCTCTAGCTACTAAAGTAAAACTCAACTTTCTTTAAAGGCAATCAATAAAATTCAGAATCGCAGCATAATAATAATAGTAATAATGTCCAGCATCCAGACAAAATTCCTACATCTACAAAGAAGTAAAACATGTGATCCACAAATAAAAGAGAAATCAGTAAATAGAAAGACACACCTCAAAATGAAATTGATAGTAGATTTAGCTGACAAGAACTTAAAATAGATATTGTAACTATATTAAAAAATTTAAAGGATAACCTTAAAAATTTTGAAGAAAAGGGAAATATATTTTTAAAATAAAACTTATAGAACTCAAAAATACAATATCTAAAGTGAAAATTTTACTGGATGAAATTAAACAGAAATTAGAACCGACTAACTTAAGATAAATGAACTTAAAGGCACTACGAAAGAAACTATACAAACTCATGTACAGAGAAAAACACAAACTACAGTGTTCTGTGGAGGAATGCAATATAATTTATCACACAAGTAATTGAAGACCAGAGAGATGAAGAGAGAAGAAAAATATTTGGAAAAATAAAAATCAAAATACCCCCAATTTTATTTTAACTATTTACTATTTATAAATCCAATAAAGACAACAAACCCCAAGCAAAGTAAACACAACGAAAATAACACTGCAGCACATTATAATCAAATTGATGAAAAGCAGGTAGAAACTGAGCCACATTACCCAAAGGGGAATGAGGAATACCACCACGCAGAACATAGTGCAACAATGTCTTTAAAGTGCTAAATTATCAACCAAGAATTCCATATCCACAAAATAAAATTTCAAAAATTTAGGCAAAAAAAAGATATTTTAAGACACAGAAGCTGAAAGAGTCTGTCATCAGTAAACCTTCACTATAAGAAAAAATTTTTTTAAGTTTAGGTGGAAGAAATGTTATACCAAAATGTAAATACACATCTAAATAAAGAAAAGAGCCTTGGAAGTGGTAAATACATGGGTAAATATAAAATATTTTCTTATTATTTAATTCTTGACAAAGTTATTTGACAGCTTAAGGCAAACATTTAACTGTATATTATAGGATTTATATGATACGTGGAAGTAAATTGTGTTAGCACTATCCACAAATAATGGTGAAAGTGAATGGAAGTATCTGTTGTTGTTACATTATACATCAAGAAAGAATATTGGTAAGTGACAGATGAATGTTGTAAAGTAGAGTAACCACAGAAAAAATAAATTAAAGAGGTATAGCTAATTAATCTAGACAATAATGTCTGCACAGGCAGGCATGCACCTAACCAATATGCCATACCTGGTATTCTTTGCTTTTGCTATGTACTGGTCTGGATTCTTCTGGTCGCAGGTAACAGAAAAAAAAAAAGGAAACTTAAATAGAAAGAGAAATGACTGTCTCTTAACTAAAAAAAAGATACAGGGTCCTTCACACAGCCAATATTTTTTCTCCAACAATCTCATATCTGTAGTTGGCTCTATTCTACAGAGGTGCCTTTAGCAGATAGAAATGGCCATTATGGAATCTCAGTCTCACATCCTCTCTATTTAGAAATCTCAGAAGAATGATATTATTTCTTCTTCAAGATCCGTATAGCAATCCAAAGGAAGGAATTTGGTCCTGCCTGGAATTATTATTTCCCCTGAACCAATCTCTGTGTTTAGGAAACTATGACCGGCTGGGCCTTTTTTTAACTTCTGTTTTAGGTTTAGGGGTACATGTAAAGGTTTATTACATAGGTAAACACACGTCATGGGAGTTTGTTGTACATACTATTTCATCACTCAGGTAGTAAGCCCAGAGCCCAATAGTTATCTTTTCTGCTCCTCTGCCTCCTCCATCCTCCCACCCTCCCTCCTCAAGTAGACTTATTTTTAAAAGTCAAAAAATAACAGATAGATGCTGGCAAGGGTGTGAAGAAAAGGGAACCAGTGTCTGTTGTTTCCTTCTTTGTGTCCACAAGTTCTTATCACTTAGCTCCTACTTATAAGTGACAACATGCGGCATTTGGTTTTCTGTTCCTGCATTAGTTTGCTAAGGAAAATAGCCTCCAGCTCCATCCATGTTCCCACGAAAGACATGATCTCATTCTTTTTTATGGCTGCATAGTATTCTGTGGTATATATGTACCACATTTTCTTTATCCAATCTGTCATTTTTGGGCATTTAGATTGATTCCATGTCTTTGCTATTGTGAATACTGCTGCAATGAACATTCACGTGAATGTGTCTTTACGGTAGAATGATTTATATTCCTCTGAGTATATAACCAGTAATGGGATTGATGGGTTGAATGGTAGTTCTGTTTTTAGCTCTTTAAGGAATTGCCATATTGCTTTCCACAATGTTTGAACTAATTTACATTCCTATCAACAGTATGTAAGTGTTCCCTTTTCTTCACAACCTCACCAGCATCTATTATTTTTTGACTTTTTAAGAATAGCCATTCTGACTGGTGTGAGATGGTATCTCATTGTGGTTTTGATTTTCATTTTTCTAATGATCAGTGATAATGAACTTATTTTCATATGTTTGCTGGCCACATGTATGTCTTATTCTGAGAAGTGTCTGTTTAGGTCCTTGGCCCACTTTTTAATGGGTTTTTTTTTTCTCATAAATTTGTTTAAGTTCCTTATAAATGCTGGATATGTCACCTTTGTCAGATGAATACTTTGCACATATTTTCTCTCATTCTGTAGGTTGTCTGTTTACTCTTTTGATAGCTTCTTTTGCTGTGCAGAAGCTCTTAAGTTTGGTTAGATTACACTTACCAATTTTTGCTTTTGTTGTGATTGCTTTTGGTGTCTTTGTCATGAAATCTTTGCTCATTCCTATGTCCAGGACAGTATTATGTTTTGTCAGCTTTGTCAGTCAGATGGTTGTAGATGTGTAGTCTTATTTCTGGGCTCTTTATTCTGCATTTTAATAAGTACCTTCTAGCCTTATAACACTCACCAAATTTGAAGAGCATTGTCTTAAAGTAGTAAAACTCTTTAAGAAATATTGCTTTTCCCATTATTACAATTAAACTGTAAGAAAAAAGGTAGGAGAGATTGAGAATAAAAAGTCTTGATAAATTGTGCCATGCTAAAGAAGATGGTTTTGTTGAAGAAAATTCAAATACATTAAATTGTGATTCTCTAAATATTCCCTAAATATTGACAAATAGGTAGAACATTAACTTTAAACCAAGGAAATATAGACCATGACTAGAATTGTGATGATATCATGGCATATTATACTCCAAGGTTGAAATACAAAAATCATTTTTATGGTTATATCTTGAAAAGAATGTTAGAAAATTCCTTCTATTCTTTACTTTGGTAAAGTATGGATTTGAATATTGTGTCAGAGATTATTTGGCATGTTGCCTATCAAATCCCCATTCCTGCATTCTCTCAAGTTAATTAAACCCTGATTATTTTCAGCTTTGTACATTGCCTAGCCTCCCCCCCACCCCACACCCCACCAAGTTTAGGAGTAATGATGTGACTAGGAACTGCCAATGTGTTGTAAGGGTAGGTTTTGTATGGGATGCTTTGAAATCTCCTAAAGGAAGGATATGAACCTTTCTCTTGTGCTTCCACCTTGCTTCTTAGAATATTGATTTGATGACTGGGGCTCCAAAGACCACCTCGGACCATGAGCATAAAAACAACACCATAGGGATAGTGTTACTAAAGGGGATTGAATCTCTGATAACTGCCAAACCACTGTACTGAGACTTCTTTTACCTGACAAAGTAAACTTTTGTCCTTTTAAAGTCATTTTGGGGATCACTTTTGAGTCACTGTTACAGTTGAAAGATGTCCTAAGTTATACAATGATCTATAACTTTTGGGCCCTTATACAGACTAATAAGGCCAACATGTACCTGAATTGGTAAACAAAGTTTTTTATTTACTTTTTTTTTAAATTTTACTTTAAGTTCTGGGATACATGTGCTGAACATGCAGGTTACATAGATATACATGTGCCATGGTGGTTTGCTGCACCTATCAACCCGTCATCTAGGTTTTAAGCTCCACATGCATTAGGTATTTGTCCTAATACTCTCCCTCCCCCTGCTCCCCAACCCCAACAGGCCCCAGTGTGTGATATTTCCCTCCCTGTGTCCATGTGTTCTAATTTTTCAGCTCCCACTTATGAATGAGAACGTGCAGTGTTTGGTTTTCTGGTCCTGTGTTAGTTTGCCGAGGATGATGGTTTCCAGCTTCATCCATGTCCCTGCAGAGGATACGAACTCATTCTTTTTTATGGCTGCATAGTATTCCATGGTGTATATATGCCACATTTTCTTTATGTACTTTGTTAAAGAAAAATAAAAATGGAAGCCACAATTTAGACATACCCCAAGGTCAACTTCCTATAACCACGTAGCCAAAATTTAAGTCAATCTGATTCCCCAAAATGGTATCTTCAATTATAAACACAAAACATAAGCTTTGCATCCTTATCAGCATGATTCAGTGAAACTAAACAGCCCTGTTTGCCTTGAAAAGAATGTTAATGTATAAGTCTATCACAAAAAAAAAACAGTCAAAAATAGTTTTTCCTTTATGCTGTAAAAACTGTGCTGTAATTGCCGTAAGGCAAGCCTCTTATCAAGTCATTTGAAATCTCCCAGATCACGATGTATACTTTCTGTTTGACAATAAACTAAGTTTTTCCTAACTTGATCTGATTTTGTATTTGACAACTTCAATTTGATAACCCACTGCTGAACAGTATTTCCAGGATGCATCAGAGTCCTAGATCTTATGGGAAATGTAAAGACGATAAGATCCCCTTATGATGCAGTTAAAAAGAAGATATTATTCATTCTTGTCTCATTGTGGTATGAGCAGCTCAAAAAATAACTATTATGAAATAGAGGGAAGTGTTAGAAGAAGTAAAGTTGACAACACCTTGGATGACTTATTTGGAAAGGAAACATTTAAGTTAGGTCTTGAACCCAAATTAGAGTTTTTTCAGACAAATTTTGCAGAACGGGAAAGAAAAGCATCCCAAGGCAGAGGAAGCAGCTTAAACAGTCATCCAACGTGGGAGATTGGGGGTGTGTTGTATACCAAGCACAGATGAGTGAAGATGAGGTCTAGAAATGTGGGATAAAATTATAGAAGGCTTTGAATATTGGCTAAAGAGTCTTGCTTTTATTCTTCATACAATAAGTAATCATCATCTTTATCATTTATTTACATTCTTTCATATGGATTTTTTTTTGAGACATGATGTCACTCTATTGCTCAGACTAGAGTGCAGTGGTACAAACACGGCTCATTGCAGCCTCAACTTACCAGGATCAAGCAATCCTCTCACCTCAGATTCCCAAACAGCTGGGACTATACATGTGAAACACCACACCTGCATAATTTTGGGGGTTTTTCTGGTAGAGACGAGGTCTCACTATGTTGTACAGGATGGTTTCAAATTCCCCGACTCAAGCAATCCTCTCGCCTAGGCCTCCCAAAATGCTGGGATTACAGGCGTGAGCAACCATGCCTGGCCTCATATAGATTTTTAATGCAATCTTTTCTAATTAAATTTGTTTTCATTAAATTTTGTACTCTGGTGGCTTTTTTTCTATCACTGATTATTAGATCATTTTGAGTATAGCAAAAAAATATATATACATATATACATATATGTATATATGTATATGTATATGATAAGATGAGAGACGCAATATACCTCATTTCAGTTGTTCTCAAAGTGTGGTTCCCAAACCAGTAGCACAAGCATCTCCTAGAAACTTTTTAGAAATGCAGATTCTTAGGACACATCCCAGACATGCCAAATGAGAAATGTGGGGATTGGGGAATAGCAATCTGTGGGTTTTTTTTTTTTTTTTTTTTTTGATGGAGTCTTGTTCTGTGGCCCAGGCTGGAGTGCAGTGGTGCCATCTCCAGTCTCTGCAACCTCCGCCTCCCGGATTCAAGCAATTCTCCCTGCCTCAGCCTCCCGAGTAGCTGGGATTACAGGTGCCCACCACCATGCCTGGCTAAATTTTGTATTTTTTAGTAGAGACAGGGTTTTGCCATGTTGCAAGCCCTCCAAGTGACTCTGATACACAGCAAAGGGTGAGAATTACTGGCTTAGTGATTGGAGATGAGATCTTGAGACACAGAACCAGAGTTCAACGACCAATTCTGCCATTTGTCCTGAAGCAAAGTTCCTTAGCTTTGTGGAAAATCAATCTCCTCATTTTATAAAGGGTGACAGAGAGGTGAGGTTTATGTAAGACACTGTATATATTACTCAGAAATGGTAAGTCTCTCTAAATATTAGCTATTGTTAATTGCTAAAAAGTTAGCTTATTACAGAAAATTTGCTCTGTAATAACCAATGCACATCAAATGATTCAAATCTAATATGTGAATATAATCTAACAGAAAATCTGTTTTGGTCTCCACAGATGCCAGTTGAGAACTTGCTCAGATCAGCTTTTCTTCTGTAGTTTTCTGTGGAGCACTAAGCACATGATTTTAAATATCATTGGCAAAGCAATGTCTTCATTCCTCGCAAAATTTTTTATATTAGTCAAAAATTTGTTCAAGATAAATATTTTTAAAAGATGCCACTTCATTTCCACCACACACACACACACACACACACACACACACAGAGAGAGAGAGAGACAGACAGAGAGAGAGACAGAAATGAGAAGGTAAATGTTGCCTTTTTCTTATGGAAAGAATTTCAACCAAGAGACCTGTATGGGGGTAGACAGCAAAGCATCCCATTAGTGGGGCTTTCTATGTTCTGTTCTTTCTTCTCTTTGATGCAGATACATTATTATTATGGATCTGAGTGATTTTCATAGGCAAATACACTGAAATATCATTCATGATCTTCTTTCACAGAATTAGGCAAATTTAATAAGTATTCCAGAACTTTGTTTTACCATGTCCAGAACTAGGATAACATACACTACATGCTAATATATTTAAAACATGTATAAAGAATATAATTGTATTACTTATATGAATACTAGCTATCTAGTTCCTATAGCCTAACACCATAAGGTGTATTTGTTGCTGGAATCCTTGGTCAGTGGTGCTGACACAGGGGATAGAATGGATGTCATCCATGCAAACATTCAGGGACCATGGCTAGTGCAGCCTCTGCCATCTTCCATACAGGGCTTCCATGATCACCCTTAAAATGCTGAAATCCAGCTAATGGAATGGACAAAAGAAAAAGAAGAGTAGGCAAATTCTCTTCCTAACTACTATAACCAGAAGTAACAAATATCATTTCTGTTTATACTTCATTGGTGAGAACTGGTCAAGCAGTCCACCAGGTTCAAGGGAGATGGGAAATGCAGTCTCTGGCTGGATACTGGGTCAGTATTCACATGGTGTGTTTCCAAATTATCACAGGCAAAAATTTTACCAGATAGCTCCACAACTAAATAAGATTTCCTGCCTTCTAACCTGCTATTTCTTTGTTTTTGTTCTTGTTATGGCTCTCCAACTTCAAATTATGCCACATATTTTGCATTGTGTATAGAAGCCCCTATTGAAAATACCAAATTACCATCCACTACTGTCACCAAAACAGCCCCCAAAATAGCAATGAAAATATAACTTTCTCAGATTAAAGTCCAATGCAGGTATGACTGATTCGTTTTAGCCAAAGCTGCATAGGGGCTTTGTGACACACAAAACTAGTAAAATTCTGTCATCTTCTAACTATGGCTTACAGGGTCACCTTGAGCACTGGCATCAAGCTGGTACCAGAGAAGGGAACAATTAGGGAGGCACACTTGTTTCTTAATCATTTGGGCTCACAAGTGATACATTCATCTCTACTACATTCCATTGATGAGAACCAATTATAAAGTTCCACTTGCGTAAAGGCAAGTGTAGATGAATATAATTTCCTGGTGAGCCCACCACTGCCCAGCAACAGCTCTACATTGCAAAACGGCAGCCAAAAAGCTTTACTAGATATAGATCTCTGACACAAAAGTAAAATTGTATATACATATATATGTGTGTGTGTGTGTGTGCGTATACATATACACATACATGTCAGGCCTCTGAGCCCAAGCTAAGCCATCGTATCCCCTGTGACCTGCATGTACATATGTCCAGATGGCCTGAAGCAAGTGAAGATCACAAAAGGAGTGAAAATGGCCAGTTCCTGCCTTAACTGATAACATTCCACCACAAAAGAAGTGAAAATGGCTGGTTCCCTACCTTAACTGATGACATTACCTTGTGAAATTCCTTCTCCTGGCTCATCCTGGCTCAAAAGCTCCCCCGCTGAGCACCTTGTGATCCCCACCCCTGCCAGCCAGAGAATAACCCCCTTTGACTGTAATTTTCCACTACCTACACAAATCTTACAAAACGGCCCCACCCATATCTCCCTTTGCTGACTCTGTTTTCGGACTTAGCCTGCCTGCACCCAGGAGATTAAAAAGCTTTATTGCTCACACAAAGCCTGTTTGGTGGTCTCTTCACATGGATGTGAGTGAAATTTGGTGCCGTGACTTGGATCGGGGGACCTCCCTTAGGAGATCAATCCCCTGTCCTCCTGCTCTTTGCTCCGTGAGAAAGATCCACCTATGACCTCAGGTCCTCAGACCAACCAGCTCAGGGAACATCTCACCAATTTTAAATTGGGTAAGTGGCCTCTTTTTACTCTCTTCTCCAACCTCTCTCATTATCCCTCAACCTCTTTCTCCTTTCAATCTTGGCGCCATCCTTCAATCTCTCCCTTCTCTTAATTTTAGTTCCTTTCCTTTTGCGGTAGCATCAGAGGAGACACGTTTTATCCGTGAACCCAAAACTCTGGCACCGGTCACGGACTCGGGAAGACAGTCTTCCCTTGATGTTTAATCACTGTGGGGACACCTGCTTGATTATTCACCCACATTTCAGAGGTGTCTGATCACCACAGGGATGCCTGCCTTGGTCCTTTACCCTTAGTGGCAAGCACCACTTTTTTGGGGGGCAATCACCCCCTGCCCCTTCTCTCCGTGTCTCTACCCTCTCTTTTCTCCTCACTTTCCTGGGGGGCAAGAATCCCCCACCCCTTCTCTCCATGTCTCTACCCTCTCTTTTCTCAGGGCTTGCCTCCTTCACTATGGGCAAACTTCCACCCTCTATTCCTCCCTCTTCTCCCTTAGCCTGTGTTCTCAAAAACTTAAAACCTCTTCAACTCACACCTGACCTAAAACCTAAATGCCTTATTTTCTTCTGCAATACCGCTTGGCCCCAATACAAACTTGACAATTGCTCTAAATGGACAGAAAATGGCACTTTCAATTTCTCTATCTTAGAAGACCTAGCTAATTTTTGTTGAAAAATGGGCAAATGGTCTGAGGTGCCTTACATCTAGGCATTTTTCACACTTTGTTCCCTCCCTAGTCCGTGTTCCCAATGTGATTCCTCCCAAATCCTCCTTCTTTCCCTCCCACCTGTCGCCTCAGTCCCAACCCCAAGTGTAGCTGAGTCTTTCCAATCTTCGTTTTCTACAGACCCATCTGACCTCTCCCCTCCTCCCCAGGCTGCTCATCGCCAGGCCGAGCCAAGTCCCAATTCTTCCTCAGTCTCCTCTCCTCCACCCTATACTCCTTCTATCACCTCCCCTCCTCACACCCAGTCCAGCTTACAGTTTGGTTCTGTGACTAGCTGTTCCCCACCTGCCCAAAAATTTCCTTTTAGAGAGATGGCTGGAACTGAAGGCATAGTCAGGATACATGTGCCTTTTTCTCTATCAGACCTCTCTCAGATCAGTTGGAGTTTAGGCTCTTTCTCATCAGGCCCCACTAAATATATACAGGAATTCCAACATCTAACTCTGTCCTACAATTTAACCTGGAGTGACTTAAATGTCATCCTAACTTCTACCCTCTCCCCAGATGAATGGGAAAGAGGTTTTTCTCTGGCCCAATCTCACACTGACAACTGCCAGCTCCATGAGCCAGACCTCCAGGAAGGCATTAGAGCAGTTCCCCAAGAGGATCCCCAATGGAACTATTAGGCAGATTCCCCAGGTATAGCTAGGCGAGATTACATGATTTCCTGCCTAGTTGAAAGGCTTTAAAAGGCAGCTTACAAAGCTGTTAATTATGACAAGCTTAAAGAAACTACCCAAGGTAAAGACGAAAACCCAGCCCAGTTCATGGCTCATTTGGCAGCAACCCTGAGATGCTTTACAGCCCTAGACCCTGAAGTGTCAGAAGGCTGTCTCATTCTAAATATGAATTTTATCACCCAGTCATCTCCTGACATTAGAAAAAAGCTTCAAAAATTAGAATCCAGCCCTCAAACCCCACAACAGGAATTAATCAACCTCACCTTCAAGGTGTACAATAATAGAGAGGAGGCAGCCAGACAGCAACGCATTTCTGAGTTACAATTATTTGCCTCTGCTGTGAGAAAAAACCCAGCCACACCTCCATCACACAAGAACTTCAAAATGCCTAAGCTGCACATGCCTAAGCTGCAGCAGTCAAGCATTCCTACAGGACTTCCTCCATCAGGATCTTGCTTCAAGTGTCAGAAATCTGGCCACTGGGTCAAGGAATGCCTGCAGCCCAGGATTCCTCCCAAGCTGTGTCCCATCTGTGCAGGGACCCACTCGAAATCAGACTGCCTAGCTCACCCAGCAGCCACTCCTAGAGCCCCTAAAACTCTAGCCCAAGGCTTTCTGACTGACTCCTTCCCAGATCTGCTTGGCTTAGTGGCTGAAGACTGACGCTGTCCAATCATCTTGGAAGCCCCCTGGACCATCACGGATGCCAGGCTTTGGGTAACTCTCACAGTGGAGGGTAAGTCCATCCCCTGTTTAATTGCTATGGGGGCTACCCACTCCACATTACCTTCTTTGCAAAGGCCTGTTTCACTTGCCCCCATAACTGTTGTGGGTATCGATGGCCAAGCTTCAAAATCCCTTAAAACTCCCCCACTCTAGTGCCATCTTGGACAACATTCTTTTATGCAATCTTTTTTAGTTATCCCCACCTGCCCAGCTCCCTTATTAGGCCAAGATATTTTAACCAAATTATCTGATTCACTGACTATTCCTGGACTACAGCCACATCTCATTGTCACCCTTCTTCCCAACCCAAAGTCTCCTTTGCGTCTTCCTCTCATATCCCCCCACCTTAACCCACAAGTATGGGACAGCTCTACTCCCTCCCTGGCAACTGATCACATGCCCATTACTATCCCATTAAAACCTAATCACCGTTACCCCACTCAACACCAATATCCCATCCACAGCACACTTTAAAAGGATTAAAGCCTGTTATCACTTGCCTGCTACAGCATGGGCTTCTAAAACCTATAAACTCTCCTTTCAACTCCATTTTACCTGTCCAAAAACCGGACAAGTCTTATAGGTTAGTTCAGGATCTGCGCCTTATCAACCAAATTGTTTTGCCTGTCCACCCTGTAGTGCCCAACCCGTATACTCTTTTGTCCTCAATGCCTTCCTCCACAACTCACTATTCCATTCTTGATCTTAAAGATGCTTTTTTCACTATTCCCCTGCACCCCTCATCCCAGCCGCTCTTTGCTTTTACCTGGACTGATCCTGACACCCACCAGTCCCAGCAGCTTACCTGGGCTGTGCTGCCGCAAGGCTTCAGGGACAGCTCTCATTACCTCAGCCAAGCTCTTTCTCATGATTTACTTTCTTTCCACCCCTCTGCTTCTCACCTTATTCAATATATTGATGACCTTCTACTTTGTAGCCCCTCCTTTCAATCTTCCCAACAAGACGCCCTCCTGCTCCTTCAATATTTATTCTCCAAAGCATATCGGTTATCCCCCTCTGAAGCTCAAATTTCTTCTCCATCCATTACTTACCTTGGCATAATTCTTCATAAAAACACACTGCTCTCCCTGCCAATCATGTCCTACTGATCTCTCAAACCCCAGCACCTTCTACAAAACAACAACTCCTTTCCTTACTAGGCATGGTTGGATACTTTCGCCTTTGGATAGCTGGTTTTGCCATCCTAACAAAACCATTATATAAACTCACAAAAGGAAACCTAGCTGACCCCATAGATCCTAAATCCTTTCCCCACTCCTCTTTTCCATTCCTTGAACACAGCTTTAGAGACTGCTGCCACACTAGCTCTCCCTGACTCATCCCAACCCTTTTCACTACACACAGCCAAAGTGCAGGACTGTGGAGTTGGAATTCTTACACAAGGACCAGGACCATGCCCTATAGCCTTTTTGTCCAAACAACTTGACCTTACTGTTTTAGACTGGCCATCATGTCTCCGTGCAGCAGCTGCTGCCACCCTAATACTTTTAGAGGCCCTCAAAATCACAAACTGTGCTCAACTCACTCTCCACAGCTCTCATAACTTCCAAAATCTATTTTCTTCCTCACACCTGATGCATATACTTTCTGCTCTGTGGCTCCTTCAGCTATATTCGCTCCTTGTTGAATCTCCCACAATTAGCATTGTTCCTGGCCTGGACTTCAATCTGGCCTTCCACATTATTCTGGATGCCACACCTGACCCCCATGACTGTATCTGTCTGATCCACCTGACATTCACCCCATTTCCCCATATTTCCTTCTTTCCTGTTCCTCACCCTGATCACATTTGGTTTATTGATGGCAGCTCCACCAGGCCTAATTGCCACTCACCAGCAAAGGCAGGCTATGCTATAGTGTCTTCCACATCTATCATTGAGGCTACCGCTCTGCCCCCCTCCACTACCTCTCAGCAAGCCAAACTCATTGCCTTAACTCAGCCCCTTACTCTTGCAAAGGGACTACACATCAATATTTATACTGACTCTAAACACGCCTTCCATATCCTGCACCACCATGCTGTTATATGGGCAGAAAGAGGTTTCCTCACTACACAATGGTCCTCCATCATTAATGCCTCTTTAATAAAAACTCATCTCAAAGCCGTTTTACTCCCAAAGGAAGCTGGAGTCATTCACTGCAAGGGCCATCAAAAGGCATCAGATCCCATTGCTCTAGGCAATGCTTATGCTGGTAAGGTAGCTAGCTAAAGAAGCAGCTAGCGTTTCAACTTCTATCCCTTATGGCCAGTTTTTCTCCTTCTCATCAATCACTCCCACCTACTCCCCCACTGAAACTTCCACCTATCATTCTCTTCCCACAAAAGGCAAATGGTTCTTGGATCAAGGAAAATATCTCCTTCCAGCCTCACAGGCCCATTCTATTCTTTCATCATTTCATAACCTTTTCCATGTAGGTTACAAGCTGCTAGCCTGTCTCTTAGAACCTCTCACTTCCTTTCCATCATGGAAATCTATACTCAAGGAAATCACTTCTCAGTGTTCCATCTGCTATTCTACTACCCCTCAGGGATTGTTCAGGCCCCCTCCCATCCGTACACATCAAGCTCAGAGATTTGCCCCTGCCCAGGACTGGCAAATTGACTTTACTCACATGCCCCAAGTCAGGAAACTAAAATACCTCTTGGTCTTGGTAGACACCTTCACTGGATGGGTAGAGGTCTTTCCCACAGGGTCACCATGGTCATTTCTTCCCTTCTGTCAGGCATAATTCCTTGGTTTGGCCTTCCCACCTCTATACAGTCTGATAATGGACGGGCCTTTACTAGTCAAATCACCCAAGCAGTTTCTCAGACTCTTGGTATTCAGTGGAATCTTCATATCCCTTACTGTCCTCAATCTTCAGGAAAGGTAGAGTGGACTAATGGTCTTTTAAAGACACACCTCACCATGCTCAGCCTCCAACTTAAAAAGGGCTGGACAGTACTTTTACCTCTTGCCCTTCTCAGAATTAGAGCTTGTCCTCAAGGTGCTACAGGGTGCAGTCCATTTGAACTTTTATATGGATGCACTTTCTTGCTCGGTCCCAACCAGGTCCCAGACACCAGCCCTCTAGGAGACTATCTTCCAGTCCTCCAGCAGGCTAGACAGGAAATTCACCAGGCTGCTAATCTTCTCTTACCTACTCCAGATTCTCAGCCATATGAAGACACTCTAGCTGGATGATCAGTTCTTGTTAAGAATCTGACCCCTCAAACTCTACAACCTTGATGGAACGGACCCTACTTAGTCATCTATAGTACCCCAACTGCCTTCCACCTGCAGGATCCTCCCCACTGGGTTCGCCATTCCAGAATAAAGCTGTGTCCATTGGACAGCCAGCCTAATTTCTCTTCTTCCTCCTGGAAATCACAAGTACTCTCTCCTACTTCCCTTAAACTCACTCGCATTTCTGAAGAAGAGTAATAACACTTATGAGCCTAATACATCCCTTCATTCTATTAGGTCTGTTTGTCCTTACCCTACTTTTTGCAAAGGGCTTTATCCAGTCACCCCCACTACTTGGACTGAGCCCCAAAATCTAGTCATCCCTACTGTCTCTGTCTAGTCATACTCCTATTCACCATTCTCAACTATTCATAAATGCCTACTCTTGTTTACACTGCCAGTTTATGCTGTTTCTCCAAGCCATCACAGCTGATATCTCCTGGTGCTGTCCCCAACAACCACTCTTAACTCCCTCTTAGAGTAGATAGATGATCTTTGCTGGCAGGGCACCCTCCAATACTTTCACCTTGATAAAGTTCTATTCTTTACTTTTATACTCACTCTTATTCTCATTCTCACGCCACCCTCTACCTCTCCCCAGCTATCTCTACCACACTATCAACCTTACTCACTCTCTCCTAGCCGTTTCTAATCCCTCCTTAGTGAACAATTGCTGGCTTTGCCTTTCCCTTTCTTCCAGCATCTACACAGCTGTCCCTGCCTTACATACAGACTGGGCAATATCTCCTGTCTCCTTATACCTCTGAACTTCCTTTAACAGCCCTCACCTTTACCCTCCTGAAGAACTCATTTACTTTCTAGACAGGTCCAGCAAGACATCCCCAGACATTTCACATCAGCAAGCTGCAGCCCTCCTCTGCACTTACTTAAAAAACCTTTCTCCTTATATCAACTCTACTCCCCCCATATTTGGACCTCTCACAACACAAACTACTATTCCTGTGGCCGCTCCTTTATGTATCTCTCAGCAAAGGCCCACTGGAATTCCCCTGGGTAACCTTTCACCTTCTTGATGTTCCTTCCCTCTTCATCTCCAAAGCCCAACTACACACATCACTGAAACAATTGGAGCCTTCCAGCTCTGTACAGAAAAGCCCTCTATCAATACTGGCAAACTTAAAAACAATAGCAGTAATTATTCCTTAGGAAGACACTTACCCTGTATTTCACTCCATCCTTGGCTACCTTCCCCTTGCTCATCAGACTCTCCTCCCAGGCCCGCTTCTTGTTTACTTATATCCAGCCCCATAAATAACAGTGAAAGATTGCTCATAGACACTCAGCGTTTTCTCACACACCATGAAAATCGAACCTCACCCTCTATGCAGTTACCCCATCAGTCCCCGTTACAACCTCTGATGGCTGCCGCCCTAGCTGCATCCCTAAGAGTCTGGGTACAAGACGCCCCTTTCAGCACTCCTTCTCATCTTTTTACTTTGCATTTCCAGTTTTGCCTTGCACAGGTCTCTTCTTCCTTTGTGGATCCTCTACCTACATGTGTCTACCTGCTAATTGGACAGGCACATGCACACTAGTTTTCCATAATCCCCAAATTCAATTTGAAAATGGGACTGAAGAGCTCCCTGTTCCCCTCATGGACACCGACATGACAAAAAATGGTTATTCCACTAATTCCCTTGCTTGTCGGTTTGGACTTTCTGCCTCCACTATTGCTCTCTGTACTGGAATAGCAGGCATTTCAACCTCTGTCATGACCTTCCGTAGCCTCTCTAATGACTTCTCTGTTAGCAGCACAGACATATCACAAACTTTTCTCAGTCCTCCAGGCCCAAGTTGACTCTTTAGCTGCAGTTGTCCTCCAAAACTGCCGAGGCCTTGACTTACTCACTGCTGAAAAAGAAGGACGCTGTGTATTTTTTAATGGAGAGTGTTGTTTTTACCTACATAAATCTGGCCAGGTGTATGACAACATAAAAAAACTCAAGGATAGAGCCCAAAAACTCACCAACCAAGCAAGTAATTACGCTGAACCCCCTTGGGAACTCTCTAATTGGATGTCTTGGGTCCTCCCAATTCTCAGTCCTTTAATACCTATTTTTCTCCTTCTATTATTCGGACCTTGTATCTTCTGTTTAGTTTCTCAATTCATCCAAAACCATATCCAGGCCATCACAAATCATTCTATATGACAAATCCTCCTTCAAACAACCCCACAATATCACACCTTACAAAAAAATCCTCCTTCAACTTGACCACTCCCACTGTAGGTTCCCAGGCTGCTCCTAATCCCGCTTGAAGCAGCCCTGAGACACATCGTCCATTATCTCTCCATACCACCCCCCAAAAAAATTTTTTTCGCTGCCCTAACACTTCAATACTATTTTATGTTATTTTTCTTATTAATATAAGAAGTCAGGAATGCAGGCCTCTGAGCCCAAGCTAAGCCATCGTATCCCCTGTGACCTGCACATATATGTCCAGATGCCCCAAAGCAAGTGAAGAATCACAAAAGAAGTGAAAATGGCCGGTACCTGCCTTAACTGATGACATTAACTTGTGAAATTCCTTCTCCTGGCTCTTCCTGGCTCAAAAAGTCCCCTTCTGAGCACCTTGTGACCCCCACACCTGCCAGCCAGAGAACAACCCCTTTTGACTGTAATGTTCCACTACCTACCCAAATCTTAAAAAATGGCCCCACCCCTATCTCCCTTCACTGACTCTCTTTTCAGACTCAGCCTGCCTGCACCCAGGAGATTAAAAAGGTTTATTGCTCACACAAAGCCTGTTTGGTGGTCTGTACACATGGACATGAGTAAAAATATACATAGGCTGTTTTTAAATAAATCTCAAACCTATAAAGAGACAACTATTAATAAAGAATGTAAAAGATCAAGATCTTTGTGAGAAATACATCTGGAATGTGTCAGGCCTCTGAGCCCAAGCTAAGCCATCATATCCCCTGTGACCTGCACGTACACATCCAGATGGCCAGTTCCTGCCTTAACTGATGACATTCCACCATAAAACAAATGAAAATGGCCTGTTTCCTTCCTTAATTGATGGCATTATCTTGTGAAAGTCCTTCTCCTGGCTTACCCTGGCTCAAAAGCTCCCCTACTGAGCACCTTGTGACCCCCACTCCTGCCTGCCAGAGAACAACCCCCCTTTCCTTTACCTACCCAAATCCTATAGAACGGCCCCACCCCTATCTCCCTTCACTGACTCTCTTTTTGGACTCAGCCCACCTGCACCCAGGTGAAACAAACAGCTTTATTGCTCACACAAAGCCTGTTTAGGGGTCTCTTCACACTGAAGAGAGTGAAATTTGGTGCCGTGACTCAGATCGGGGGACCTCCCTTGGGAGATCAATCCCCTGTCCTCCTGCTCTTTGCTCCTTGAGAAATATCCACCTACGACCTCTGGTCCTCAGACCAACCAGCCCAAGGAACATCTTGCCAATTTTAAATCCAGTAAGCAGCCTCTTTT
Organism: Homo sapiens; assembly: GCF_000001405.40. Classification (NCBI taxonomy): domain Eukaryota; kingdom Metazoa; phylum Chordata; class Mammalia; order Primates; family Hominidae; genus Homo; species Homo sapiens. Next base: position 167,431,851 of record NC_000003.12, read on the forward strand.
TACTCTCTTCTCCAACCTCTCTCACTATCCCTCAACCTCTTTCTCCTTTCAATCTTGGTGCCACACTTCAATCTCTCCCTTCTCTTAATTTCAATCCCTTTCATTTTCTGGTAGAGACAAAGGAGACACGTTTTATCCCTGGACCCAAAGCTCCGGTGCTGGTCACGGACTAGGGAAGGCAGCCTTCCCTTGGTGTTTAATCATTGTGGGACACCTCTCTGATTATTCACCCAGGTTTCAGAGGTGTCAGACCATGCAAGGATGCTTGCCTTTGTCCTTCACCCTTTGTGGCAAGTCCTGCTTTTCTGGAGGAGGGGCAAGAACCTCTCAACCCCTTCTCCTTCACCCTTAGCGGCAAGTACCGCTTTTCTGGGGGAGAGGCAGGAACCCCAACCTCTTATCTCTGTGCCCCGATCCCTTATTTCTGTGCCCCAACCTCTTATCTCTGCAACCTAATCCCTTATTTCTGTGTCCCAACCTCTTATCTCTGCACCCCAACCCCTTATTTCCATGCCCCAACCCCTTCTCTTCTTTTCTGGAGGGCAATAACCCCCCATCCCTTCTCTGTGTCTCTACTCTCTTTTCTCTGGGCTTGCCTCCTTCACTATGGACAAGCTTCCACCTTCCATTCCTCCTTCTTCTCCCTTAGCCTGTGTTCTTAAGAACTTAATACCTCTTCAACTCTCACCTGACCTAAAATCTAAGCATCTTATTTTCTTCTGCAATGCCGCTTGACCCCAATACAAACTCGACAGTAGTTCCAAATAGCCAGAAAATGGCACTTTCAATTTTTCCATCCTACAAGATCTAAATAATCCTTGTCATAAAATAGGCAAATGGTCTGAGGTGGCTGATGTCCAGGCATTCTTTTACACATCAGTCCCTCTCTAGTCTCTGTTCCCAATGCAACTCACCCCAAATCTTCCTTCTTCCCCTCCCACCTGTCCCCTCTGTCCCAACGCCAAGTGTCGCTGAGTCTTTCTAATCTTCCTTTTCTATAGACCCATCTGACCTCTCCCCTCCTCACCAGGCTGAGCTAGGTCCTAATTCTTCCTCAGCCTCCACTCCTTCACCCTATAATCCTTTTATCACCTCCCCTCCTCACACCCCGTCTGGCTTACAGTCTCGTTCCCTGACTAGCCCTCCCCCACCTGCCCAGCAATTTACTCTTAAAAAGGTGGCTGGAGCTAAAGGCATAGTCAAGGTTAATACTCCTTTTTCTTTATCCCAAATCAGATAGCGTTTAGGCTGTTTTTCATCAAATATAAAAATCCAGCCCAGTTCATGGCTCGTTTGGCAGCAACCCTGAGACGCTTTACAGCCCTAGACCCTAAAAGGTCAAAAGGCCGTCTTATTCTCAATATACATCTTATTACCCAATCTGCTCCCGACATTAAATAAAACTCCAAAAATTAAATTCCAGCCCTCAAACCCCACAACAGGACTTAATTAACCTTGCCTTCAAGGTGTACAATAACAGAGTAGAGGCAGCCAAGTAGCAACATATTTCTGAGTTGCAATTCCTTGCCTCCACTGTGAGACAAACCCCAGCCACATCTCCAGCACACAAGAACTTCCAAACGCCTAAACCGCAGTGGCCAGGTGTTCCTCCAGAACTGCCTCCCCCAGGAGCTTGCTACAAGTGCCAGAAATCTGGCCACCAGGCCAAGGAATGCCCGCAGCCCAGGATTCCTCCTAAGCCGTGTCCCATCTGTGCAGGACCCCACTGGAAATTGGACTGTTCAACTCACCTGGCAGCCACTCCCAGAGCCCCTGGAACTCTGGCCCAAGGCTCTCTGCCTGACTCCTTCCCAGATCTTCTTGGCTTAGCGGCTGAAGACTGACGCCGCCCGATCGCCTCAGAAGCCCCGTAGACCATCACGGACGCCGAGCTTTAGGTAACTCTCACAGAGGAAGGTAAGTCCATCCTCTTCTTAATCAATATGGAGGCTACTCACTCCACAATACCCTCTTTTCAAGGGCCTGTTTCCCTTACCTCCATAACTGTTGTGGGTATTGACAGCCAGGCTTCTAAACCTCTTAAACCTCCCCGACTCTGGTGCCAACTTAGACAATACTCTTTTAAGCACTCCTTTTTAATTATCCCCACCTGCCCAGTTCCCTTATTAGGCTGAGACACTTTAACTAAATTATCTGCTTCCCTGACTATTCCTGGAGTACAGCTACATCTCATTGCTGCCCTTCTTCCCAATCCAAAGCCTCCTTTGTGTCCTCCTCTTGTATCCCCCTACCTTAACCCACAAGTATAAGATACCTCTACTCCCTCCTTGGTGACCAATCATGCACCCCTTACCATCTCATTAAAACCTAATCCCCCTTACCCCGCTTAATGCCAATATCCCATCCCACACCATGCTTTGAAAGGATTAAAGCCTGTTATCACTTGCCTGCAACAGCATGGCCTTTTAAAGCCTATAAACTCTCCTTGCAATTCCCCCATTTTACCTGTCCTAAAACCAGACAAGCCTTACAAGCTAGTTCAGGATCTATGCCTTATCAACCAAATTGTTTTGCCTATCCACCCCATGGTGCCAAACCCATATACTCTCCTATCCTCAATACCTCTCTCCACAATCCATTATTCTGTTCTGGATCTCAAATATGCTTTCTTTACTATTCCTTTGCACCCTTCACTCCAGCCTCTCTTTGCTTTCACCTGGACTGACCCTGACACCCATCAAGCTCAGCAAATTACCTAGGCTGTAGTGCTGCAAAGCTTCACAGACAGCCCCCATTACTTTAGTCAAGCCCAAATTTCTTCCTCATCTGTTACCTATCTCGGCATAATCCTCAGAAAAACACATGTGCTCTCCCTGCTGATCATGTCTGGCTAAACTCCCAAACCCCAATCCCTTCTACAAAACAACAACTCCTTTCCTTCCTAGGCATGTGGATACTTTTGCCTTTGGATACCTGGTTTTGCCATCCTAACAAAACCATTATATAAACTCACAAAAGGAAACCTAGCTGACCCCATAGATCCTAAATCCTTTCCCCACTCCTCTTTCCATTCCTTGAAGACAGCTTTAGAGACTGCCCCCACCCTAGCTCTCCCTGACTCATCCCAACCGTTTTCATTACACACAGCCGAAGTGAAGGGCTATGCAGTCGGAATTCTTACACAAGGACCAGGATTGCGTCCTGTAGCCTTTTTGTCCAAACAACTTGACCTTACTATTTTAGGCTGGCCGTCATGTCTCTGTGCAGTGGCTGCTGCTGCCCTAATACTTTTAGAGGCCCTTAAAATCACAAACTATACTCATCTCACTCTCTACAGCTCTCATAATTTCCAAAATCTATGTTCTTCCTCACACCTGATGCATATACTTTCTGCTTCCTGGCTCCTTCAGCTGTATTCACTCTTTGTTGAGTCTCCCACAATTACCATTGTTCCTGGCCTGGACTTCAATCCGACCTCCCACATTATTCCTGATACCACACCTGACCCTCATGACTGCATCTCTCTGATCCACCTGACGTTCAGCCCATTTCCCCACATTTCCTTCTTCCCTGTTTCTCAGCCTGATCACACTTGGTTTACTGATGGCAGTTCCACCAGGCCTAATCGCCACACACCAGCAAAGGCAGGCTATGCTATAGTACAAGCCACTAGCCCGCCTCTTAGAACCTCTCATTTCCTTTCCATCATGGAAATCTATCCTCAAGGAAATAACTTCTCAGTGTTCCATTTGCTATTCTACTACTTCTCAGGGATTATTCAGGCCCCCTCCCTTCCCTACACATCAAGCTCAGGGATTTGCCCCCACCCAGGACTGGCAAATTAGCTTTACTCAACATGCCCCGAGTCAGGAAACTGAAATACCTCTTGGTCTAGGTAGACACTTTCACTGGATAGGTAGAGGCCTTTCCCACAGGGTCTAAGAAGGCCACCACGGTCATTTCTTCCCTTCTGTCAGACACAGTTACTCAGTTTGGCCTTCCTACCTCTATGCAGTCCGATAGTAGACCAGTCTTTATTAGTCAAATCAGCCAAGCAGTTTTTCAGGCTCTTGGTATTCAGTGAAACCTTTATATCCCTTACAGTCCTCAGTCTTCAGGAAAGGTAGAACGGACTAATGGTCTTTTAAAAACACACCTCACCAAGCTCAGCCACCAATTTAAAAAGGACTGGACAATACTTTTACCTCTTTCTTTTCTCATAATTCAGGCCTGTCCTTGGAATGCTACAGGGTACAGCCCATTTGAGCTCCTGTATGGACGCTCCTTTTTATTAAGCCCCAGTCTCATTCCAGACACCAGACCAACTTAGACTGTGCCCCAAAAAACTTGTCATCCCTACTATCTTCCATCTAGTCATACTCCTATTCACCATTCTCAACTACTCATAAATGCCCTGCTCTTGTTTACACTGCCAGTTTACACTGTTTCTCCAAGCCATCACAGCTGATATCTCCTGCTGCTATCCCCAAACCGCCACTCTTAACTCTTGAAATAAATAAATAATTTTTGCTGGCAGGACTATGCTGAATCTCCTTAGGCACTCTCTAATTAGATGTCCTGGGTCCTCCCAATTCTTAGACCTTTAATACCAGTTTTTCTCCTTCTCTTATTCCATTTAGTTTTTCAATTCTTACAAAACCGTATCCAGGCCATCACCAATAATTCTAAATGACAAATGTTTCTTCTAACAGTCCCACAATGTCACCCCTTACCACAGAATCTTCCTTCAGCTTAATCTCTCCCACTCTAGGTTCCCACACCACCCCTAATCCCACTCAAAGCAGCCCTGAGAAACATCGCCCATTATCTCTCCATACCATCCCCCAAAATTTTTGCCGCCCCAACCTTTTACCACTATTTCATTTTATTTTTCTTATTAATATAAGAAGACAGGAATGTCAGGCCTCTGAGGCCAAGCTAAGCCATCATATCCCCTGTGACCTGCACGTCCACATACAGATGGCCGGTTCCTGCCTTAACTGATGACATTCCACCACAAAAGAAATGAAAATGGCCTGTTTCTGCCTTAACTGATAGCATTACCTTGTGAAATTCCTTCTCCTGGCTCATCCTGGCTCAAAAGCTCCCCTACTGAGCACCTTGTGACCCCTACTCCTGCCTGCCAGAGAACAACCCCCTCTTTTCCTTTACCTACCCAAATCCTATAAAACGGCCCCACCCCTATCTACCTTCACTGACTCTCTTTTCGGACTCAGCCCACCTGCACCCAGGTGAAATAAACAGCTTTATTGCTCACACAAATCCTGTTTAGTGGTCTCTTCACACAGACACGAGTGAAAGAATGTACTTTTGTTTTTTGTAAAATAACTGCTTATAGACAATAAAAACTCAAAAGACATTATTTCAAAGATGTGTCTTTGAGGAGAAGCCCAAGGTTTGCCAAGATAGAACTTTGGAATAAAGACTTGAAATAGGATTAGTCCAACCAATCCTTCATTTTATAGGTGAGGGCATTGAAGCTCCAGAGAATTGATGTGACAAGCCAAAAATTATAATGTTGGACAGTGAAAAATATGTCATCTTTTAATTCCTTTACATCATCAGGGTGGTCACTTGAGGAATCAAAAGGAGAAAGAAACTAGATTATTGACATTTAGAATTTTAGGCTTCAGATTTAGAGATTATCATATGAGGAACCATGACAATAAGGGGAGGAAGGAATCACAAAATTAAGTGCTCTTGCAAGCAAACAAATTAAGTAGGTCCACACTTCTACCATATGCTTGTAATCAGACTCAGGCCAATCCATGGCTCAGGGGGTTGGTCCTTCATAGAGTATGCTTCAATGGTATAAGGCTACAAAATGAGGAAGTATCTTATTTCCAGAGGTCCAAGGCACAGACTTTTAATGAAACCTGCCTAAAGTTTTCTCTGTACCTTTGAAGGTTTCCATGTCATCATTACCCAATTCAGGAGATTTTATAAGCCTCTCCAAAGAAAGAAATTATTCCTTTTCTCAGGTCTTTGGCTTTTCAGTTGTACTGCGTGATGTGGCAGACTCTGAGATGAAGCAGGGATCCCTCCTACGGGCCTGCCACCCCCAAGGCATGGAAATAAAGGAAAATTTTGAGTTCCTTCCAGGGAAATTCCAGGCACCAACCTAGCCCTGAGAAGTAAATGAGCAACCTGATAAGCAAGAATGCTGTAATAGCTGAAAACAATAGCCAAGGAAGCTAGAGCCACAGAGTTTGCTTCTCTATAGAAATTAAAGGTAAAGTCTTCACATATGTCCCTGAGTTGTTTTTCAGAGACCTGGACCCCTCACCACATGGAAAAGCCATCTGCTGGCACATAGATCTCAGATAGGGTGGAACAGAGGACTAAATTCTGTCATTCTTTGTTCTAAATTTCTTCCTGAGGGTCCTGAAGGAAATTATGCTCACAGGCCAGAGCTCAACTCTCCTTTCAGCTGACCCACACTTTTAGACAAAGCCAAACCAATCACAAATCAGAAAATATTTGCATCCACCTGTGATCTGTGGGCCATGCCACCCTCCCCACTCACCTGATTTGAGATGTCCCACCTTTTTAGGCCAAACCAACGTATAGCCTCCATGTACTGATTTATAGCTTTGCCTGTAACCTCTGCCTCCCTGCCTTTAAAAACTCTTACAGTTAAGCCACTGGGTATTTCAGATCTTAAGCATGAGCTGCCTGATTTTCCTTGCTTGCCACCCTGCGATAAATGCCTCACTTTTTCTTCTTGCAAATCCCAATGTCATTGTTTGGCCTTGCTGTGCCAGGCAGGCAGACCCAAGTTCAGTCTGGTAACAACTCCTCTAGAATACGCCATGAATTATAGCTATGTGAAGTCAATAAAACCCAAAGTTTCCAAAAGAAATACTACTATTTTAATAATTATTTTGCCTCCATGAGGAATACAAATATTTCCTATATATGATGTACTGGACTTTTACAAGGGGTATTGACAGTAATTTTATCCCATATTGATTATGGACTGTTGTGAATCCTACAGATTTCATACAGTTTAGCAAAGAAAATTATTTCATACTTATTTTCCTTCATAAATAGATGTATGTTTTGTAAATGTATTCCATATACTTGTAACCTTTATGATGCAAACTTGTAATAACTACTGAGTTACTTACAACTGAAGGAAAAAATTAAATGTTTTAATTTTGGAAGTAGTTCGGCAAATGTATTTCCAGAACATGGTAGAAAATGGGGTTTTTATCTTGAATCCACACAATGAGCTTATGGAAGACACTCCCATTTTTAAGCCAAATGGAAGAAGAACATGAAATCAGAAAAATAAATTACCCAACTTCTGTATAATGCTTTCAGGATCCTCAGTCGGGAACTCGTGGCAGACTTTTAGCAAATCTTATTAAGGAAAACAAATACATTAGGAACACACTGTAAGAATATGTACTTAAAGTGAAACTTGGGTAGTGATCTTATTACATCATCTCAATTATTGAACCCCTCTTATTTTCTTCTTCTGCTTTATTAATGTCATCAGTTATTACCATTTGAAATTACCTTGTTTTTGTATTTGTTCACTGGTTTACTGCTACCAGTAAAATGTCAGCTCCAGGAAGACAAGGACCTTGTCAGATTTGCTCACTAATACATCCCTTGTGCTTAGAAAACTACCTGGAACATAGTGGAAGCTCAATTAAAATTTGTAGAATGAATGAATGAATCCCCAGAGCATGACATTTAATGCATGAAAGAGGATCAGAAGAATTCAGCCAACCCAAGAGAAACAGGAATCTGGACCACAGCTGAATAAAACTACTATCCTCTTAACTCATTATTCTCTCCTTCCTGAAACAAAGACTTATATTTTTAAAACAGATATGTTGTGAGGAATTTATGCCACAAATGCATATTACTAACATATAGATTAGTATTTACTGTGTTATATCTAAGTATGCTCAAATTGAAAGTAGAGTAATGAACATTGCTTTCAATTATGTTATGATTTTTAAGCAATCACAATTCATTCTAAAGTTGGCTTCATAATGTCTTGAGTATTGCTGTAGGTTTTGCTGTAGATGGATACCTAGATTTTGAAAATTAAAATAGAAGGTGGAGGGCAGCAGAATATGCCACCCCAAAAGATGCCACTTTAGCATAAGGGTTATTTTGAGCTAAAGGCAACTGAGAAGAAGTAGATACAGGAAAAGTTATTTGCCTTGCCTAAACAATTTGCCTAAAAACAGAATACAAATTCACAAAGTTATCCCTCCTCCTCTCTCTACCAAGTAGGACAGAATTTGATCACTGAAGATGACTTAAGACCCTTATCATCCTGGAGATATCACCACAGGAATCTACATAACAAATTTTACAAAATAGCCTTTATCTACCATATATTTGCCTTCCTACAATTTACTGCCCTTATAAATCCAAGGTCCTTTTCCTTTGTCATTTCTTCAACCATGTATTGTTCTTTGTCGAAGATGCTATGTAAGCCAGAGTTCTAAGCCACTTCTTTGAGATTTACTCATTTTTTCCTGGGTGTCTTCTATGTGTACATGTGGTATACATGTTAACAAATGTCTGTTTTTCTCTTGTGAATCTTTTGTTTTTTGAGACGAGGACTCACTCTGTTGTCCAGACTACAGTACAGTAGCATAATCATAGTTTACTGCAGCCTCAACCTCCTGGACTCACGTGATCCTCATGCCTTATCCTCTCGAGTAGCTGGGACCACAGGCATGCGCCACCACACCTGGCTATTATTTTTAATTTTTATGTAGACCGGATATCACTATGTTGCCCAGGCTGGTCTTGAACCCCTGGCCTCAAGCGATCCTCCCACCTAAGCCTCTCAAAGTGCTGAGATTACAGATGTGAGCCACCACACCTGGCTATCCTGTATTTTATTACAAGGGATACTAGCTCAAAGCTATGAGAAGTAGAGAGAAAATTACTTTTTCCTTCCCTGCAAAGGGAATATAACTCAGTAATTAAGGTCACAGACTTCTAGCTTGAGTAGTTCTGAGTTCAAATCTACCCACCATATTTATCAGTTGTGTGTCTTTGACTAATTTTATAACATTTTTCAATGTCACTCTCCAGTAGTTCTGAGTTCAAATCTACCCACCATATTTATCAGTTATGCATCTTTGACTAATTTTATAACATTTTTGAATGTCAGTCTCGAGTAGTTCTGAGTTCAAATCTACCCACCATATTTATCAGTTATGTGTCTTTGACTAATTTTATAACATTTTTGAATCTCAGTTTCTTTATCAGGAAGTTAGGTAATGCTGTTTCATAAAAATTTTAGTACATTTAACATAAGGTAAAAAGTGCTTACTTCAGTGAGCCCAACACAAAATTAGGGCTCATTGAGGTGCAGCTATTATCATTAAGCTCTCTGCCAAAATTGCCAAGACAAACAAACAAAAAGGAATTTTACATCATTAGCTTGAAAATGGAAAAACTGTGAAACATGCTATATGAAGTAATATTGGAATGTAGTTTTAGCTTTTGATATTTAGATGTGATGTTTCAGAGTATTCAAGGGAAGGGATCTGCATTTAATCTTTATAGTGCACAATCTTGACTCTAACACTTCCTTGGCTCAGTATTGTAAAATTGTGGAAGTTCAGCTTCCTGAGTCACGCTAATTATGCTGCCACTTTCACCTATAAAAAGAGGAATGCTTTACAGAAGCGCTCAGCATTTCTATGTTGTGTACATTTTAAAACCATAAATCAGTAGAAAAAAAACTGGTATGTTTCAAAAGGTACTGAAACAACATAAATATTAAATGTAACATGTCAAATAACAAGTTAAGATTAGTGAAATACCCAAAGCTCCTCTATTGCAAGGAATACTGGATCTCTGTGTCTTGAGTGACACCCCAGAGAGGCATGTACCATGGCCATTGTCTCTTTATCTTATTTCCCCATGGCTAGAAAATGGTACTATGCCTGAATCTAATAGTCTAGTATTTTAGGGAATAATAAATTTGCTATCTAAGACAAGAATTTGGTATTTAAGATATTATAGACAGGATTGTTCTAACATATGAATGGTAATATTTTACGTACGCTCAAGGTTTTAGATGCATATAGATTTTCTAAAACATACAGAAGGAATGGAAACAAATGCATACCTAATTTTACTTATTCATCAAGACAGATATCTATTACTACAGGCACAGTTTAAAACAGAAAAGACATAAGATATAGAGCAAATATTGTCAAGATGACGATATTTTGCCAATCAGCTATTTTTGAGAAATCATCTTTTATTCTGAGGCTGTGCTTTTCATTCACAGTGAATCTAAATCTCTTCCTTTTATCTCCTGGGTGTCAGGATTTGTCACTCTTCCCATAAACAGAATTGATTCTAGGGAAAAAAAAACAAAAAAATATACTTTAGGAATTTCAGGAGAAAACAACTGACAATAATTAGTTTTTCTTAATATTTAACATGTCATTTGGTCTTTTTTCTCTGTAAGATAAATAGGCAGTGTCTAATAGCAAAGCCTTCTCCTTTGTCTCAAATTCATAATTATATCATTATTAATCATTTTCTGGTAATTTATGAGGTAAATTAACACCCACTACAGCTTGTCATGGAAAAAGCATTAATCCTGTTTTTCATAGAGGGAAACAAAAATAAAGTGACAGAGAGGTGTTCTTCTAAATATAGAGACCCAGTCCGGAGAACATAGCATAATAAAACGGTGATGAGCGTGGTAGAGTTTTAAATTTAAGGCATTAGCAATCATCATTTTATGCATGTAATGTAAGTCTTAAGGGCTAAAAGTGCAACTTCCCAGTTCTCCTTTTTCAGCTCTGAATCAAAGCTTACTTTACCTCCAATGACAATATTTTTATATCTCTAGTATTTTCAAATACTGACCAAAGTGATATAGTATACAGCATAAATGCAAATACCTGTTTTCAACCATTCTGTGTTTGCAAGTGAAAAGGAACTAAGAACTAAAGGACAAAACAGAAAGAATGATGTACCAAAATCTATTCACCTTTCTTTTAAACTGGGTTAAGAGAAGTGGCCTAAATCAATCAGTGTCAAATGTTGCCTTAAGTTCCTTATGCTCGGATGTCATAAAGGTTAATTTCAAAGGCGACAAATTTTGCATAATTTTAAAGCTAATAAAATGATATTTAAATGCATTTGAAATAATAGTGGGACGGCCCTTTTTTATTAACTCTACTATTCAGTCCAAAGACACACTCTTTGAAGAACAAATAACATGGAAATAGACATAAACTCCAGCAGATTTTATTTTATTTTTTTGTTTTGTTTTGTTTTGTTTTCTGAGACGGAGTCTCGCTCTGTCACCCAGGCTGGAGTGCAGTGGCGGGATCTCCGCTCATTGCAAGCTCCGCCTCCCGGGTTCACGCCATTCTCCTGCCTCAGCCTCCCGAGTAGCTGGGACTATAGGTGCCCGCCACCACGCCTGGCTAATTTTTTGTATTTTTAGTAGAGACAGGGCTTCACCGTATTAGCTGGGATGGTCTCGATCTCCTGACCTCGTGATCCTCCCGCCTCAGCCTCCCAAAGTGCTGGGATTACAGGCGTGAGCCACCGCGCCTGGCCCAGATTTTACTTTTTATTATGAATAATTATAGTCAACAATGTTTTGTTTCAAAATATTAAAATAATTCTGGAAAAAAGAAAACAAATACCCCAATATTTCAGATAGATAAAGATACATAAATACATCTCCTAGAATAGATATTACATTTAGTCACAACAGGAATAAGCAGCGACTCCTATATCTTCATAATATTAATGCCATAATGCTATGGCATTAAAATGCTCATCAGAGTAGTTTGTCTGGAAAAATTTTAAAGTAACTTCTATAAACACTAAGTTATAATTGAGGACAATATCTTAAAATTTTAAATACCTAGAAGGGTAGAATGTTACATAAAACCCATTAGTCCCAGCCTTTTCAATCTGTCTCTTTCTCCAGGAAGAATCACATTTTGAATTGAATCTTCATGCCATCATCAATCTACTTACTACTAAATTGGGCAGATTAATAAAATCTCCCTTGACATAATAGTGAAGAATTTAGAGGCAGACTGAAGCAAAAATGATTATTTTTTATCTTCATGCTTCCTTCCTAAATAGGTACCCCCATATTTAATCAATATATTTATACAACATCTTCATCAGATGGAAGCAACTTTTACCTCCTAATATTACAATACAATAGCATTACCAAGCTAATGGCGAGAAAAAAAATTCTTAATGGATATTCTGCAATCTGCTTCTCCCCTCAACACACAACCCAAAAGAGTTCTAAACACAATAACTTTCATTATGTCTGGAGTCCTGTCAATTTCAAAATCATAATTCACTATTTTTTCAGGAATGGTACCTTTCATGAGTATCCTTCACAATTTTCTTCTCAAAGCCTATAAAGTTGGCCTACATCCCCAACCTTAAAAAGGTGCTTTATTGTCCTAGAAATTTAGCTTAGTAAGGGCTTTAGAGGAATATACTGCAATATAAAATTCATCTGATAGGAAAATCCAAATAATGGCTAGATTTTGCACAAAAGGACTGTTTGGATCAAAGAAAATTTCCAGGCTATGTAAAAATTGATTGTACTAAACCTAAAATCATTCATCCTCATACTTCAGAAATCATCAACAGAATACACTTTATGTATACCATGAAGCCATTTAATAGTTCACTATGGTGATGCTAAATCACTATCTTCATTAATCTCAATGATTTCTTGAGTTCATTTGTGAGAGAAAAATTGATAAATCACTAAATATGTATTGTCTTAAGATAACGGCCCTTTCTACATTTTATATGGCAACAACGGACAGTCCCTGATAAATGAGCGGCCATTTATTTTAAACAATACTTTAAAGGAGTAACCCTAGTTTAGAAAGTCTCACTACAATAAAGAACATAAAACAGTTCAAACTGTCATTAAGACCTGCTAGTTAAGCATTATCACAAATAAACAGATAAGTGGGTTATTTTGGGTTTTGAACTTTTGCTGCTGTTTTACTGATAGCTGTTACTTGGCCTTTGCATATAACAAGTCATCAACCTGGAAAATAGAGTAAAACATAATTATTCTAAATGCCATTATTTACTTGTGCATTGATGCCCAATGTAGCTTTTTTTCTTTCTGTCTCCATACTACATAATTATATATTAATTGTAAAAAATTAGAATTATCTAAAGGTTAGACAGACACATAGATCAAATGACATACTTAGAATACATTTGAACACTGACACAGCCATTACTAGAATTGAAGTTGTGTTAATGCAATCTCATCAATTCTAAAACTGTTTCATTGTTTTTAAGATATGACTTTCAGAAGGGTCTCTCAGCATTAGTTTCATGGAGCCAAAAAAGAGTGAAGTATCCCTTACTGGGCCAATAATATCAGTATCGCTAGTTCATCTAATAGATTCAGATTCTGCAATTAACTATGTCTCTTCTCCCTGTAAATGACTTTAAACTTTTTCACTTGCCTTTCTTCTTTTATTCACTCCCTCATTCATATTTATTAATTTATTCATAATGAACACTTAGTATGTGCCAGGCACAGTGTTACAGGCTTCAAAAATTCTTTTATTTAACTCTATGAGATGAGCACTACTATTATGTTCAAATAAGATATAGGGAAAATGTGGCTTAGAAAGGACAAGCAACTTGTTTCACAACTGTTAGTGAATTCAGCTGGAAATTGAGCCCAACCCAATTTCACACCCTCTGTCTATAGGGAAACTGATACTATGTGCAAGGCATTTTGCCAAATATTGGCCTGAATACAGAGATGAGTAAAATATAATTTCTACTATCCTGTGGTATGTAACTCTCACATGAGCATTATGACTGCTGAAGGATCCTAAACATAAACTTGACAATTTTCCCACTGTATTCACATTTCTGGCTTCTCTTACTCACAAGAGAAAGTGCTGAAGCATCCATCCAGACAATCTGAATTTCCCTGTGTTGACACTGTGCCCAGTGCTAATCCAATCCACTACTTCTACACTCCCTTTACCTAACTGCATCATCTTTCACCAGTTGCCCAAGTTGAAGATTTGAAATTACCTTTGACTCCTTCCTATCCCTCAGAACCTACATTAGTCACTTACTGTTTTGGTATCCACCTCTGAATTCTTTCACAACTCCACACCTCTCAATTTCCATCCCCAATGTGGCATCATACACAGACAGTTGACCTTTATTCCCACTCTGACACTTTCTAGCTACGTAACCTGAGACAAACCATACAATCTTTCTCTGAGCTTTTGTTCTTTACTAGTCAAATATCTAATCTTCTGGAGTGGTTTTAGCTTTACTGATGGTTATATGAAATGGCTACCGCATATAGTAGCCATGATGGCAGCCATTATTACCACTGCCCTATTTTAGGCCTCGGTCATCTCTTAAAATACAATTCCTGGTATATAAAATGCACTTAACAAATATCCACTGAAAGAACAAATGACTTCAGATATGTACATTGCAATTAGAAACTGGAACTAGTTCTGCTTAACATAATCAGTTCCCCCAAATAATTCTCAAAAAAGGTACCTGTTGGATTATGCTTCATAATAAACAGAAATGGATGATTTGCTATAAATTGGCTTTGAGCCAGACTCATGATCACAGGGATGTGTATGCCTATAAAATAGAGACAACAGTTATTTAGATACTTGCATTAAAAGATCAGTAAAGAAAGTATATTCATAATACATTTTGTAGACAGGAAAAGTCATTTTGTGTAAGGAGTTAACATGTGGAAAAATAACCATTTTCTAAATACAGAGGAATTTGCAATAAATTTAAAAACCAAAGTACTGAAGAATAAATATTAGGTCACTCACAGAATAATTCTAACTTTATATGTATGCTCAATGAAGAAGCAAGCCAGATACCAGATTCAATTTAGTGAAAGCAGTTGAAAAAATTTATCTTTTAAACAGTAATTTTCTGTTCACTTTTTATTTGCATTATATGATTTATTTCTACAATGTTTGTAATTCCTAATTCCTATTTAGGTATATTTGCACTTCGGGTTTGTGGTAATCACATCTGAGCTCAAATTAATTTTTTTTTTTACTTACTCTTTCAAAATTATTCTGTGAGCTCAGAGCTTTTAGGATTTGTGCAGTGAATGTGTGTGAGATTTTTATTATGAGATTTGAAGCAGAAATTTGCTGCCTTAAAAATTACTTTCTATGATTATTTATATTATGTTGCTCCATTACAGTATTTGTCAATATTTAGAATAGGAAAATATAAAAAGTTAGATATTTTTCCTATCTAGATTAAATGTTTTATGCTTAATTCAGATACTGTATTTCCCAATAATTGAATTATTTTGTACTGTTATTTTCAGACCCCAGGAAAAATAAAATCACTATGTATCATTAGAATTATAAAACAGTCAAATATAATCTTAGTATGATAACATGATTGGCACTCTCCTATCCAGAATATCAAGGGTATACCTAAATAACCAGTGAATATAGGCTCATGTCTGAATTACTACGATAAATCCAAAAGCAAGATCAGTTTTACTCCCATTCCCATTTACAGTGAATACTTGGACTTTTTTTGCTTTTGAGCAGTCCGTGAGTGGATTTCTGAAAGTCAAAATACCCAGACTGACTATTCTGAGGAGTTTTACTTTGATTCATCTACCTTCTCTTAATGATTGTTACAGAATCCTAGAAAATTTTAGACTTAAAATGAGAGACAGTGGGCAATAACATAAAGAGCTCTGAACTTAAAGTCAGGGAACATGAGTTGCGTTCAAATTCTGCTGTCAATCAATAATATGGCCTCAGGTAAGCCACTTTACATTGCTGGGCCTGTTTCTTCACCAATATAATGAGATCAAACAATAATCTATAAGGACTCTCTCAGTACTGTTTGAAAGCAGCTGGAAAATTTGTCTACATGATCCAGCAATTTCATCCAAATATAACCTTTTGACTTCTTCAAAGATTAATATAGTTCATCCCCTACAATCCAAGTTCCTTGAGCACAGCAATGCAAGATCCTTCAGGAGATGACAAAATTGTAAGGGAGTCCAGTGTGTTTCATCCAGATGTCAAAATCCATTGGCCCAATGCAGCATTGCAAATTAATCAAGAAATTAATAAATGAATATCAATTTTTATATATTTATCAGTAAGACATTGAAATGATAAATAGCTTTTAAATATTGATTAAAATCCAAATAGTATGGGGAATTAAAATAGACTTACAAGGAATTCATTAAAGTTGCTTGTCCATTTATAATTATTTTAGGGCTTTTTTCTAATTATTTTTCAAGCATTATTTATATGCAGCACAGATGCTATTTAAAATGTCATTTGTTCAAGGAAATATGGCCTAGAAGAGTGGTTCTCTAACTAGAATGTACATACAAATTTCCTAGTGATCTTGCAAAATACAGATTCTGATTCAGTCGGTCTAGGGTTTGGATCTGAGATTTTGCATTTCTAACGAGTTCCCAAGTGGTGCTGTTGTTGGTCTATGCACTACATTTGTAATAAAAAAGGCAAGCTGCAAAGCACTATGGAGCACTGGTTCTTCCATGCACATTGATATCACTTAGGAAAACCTATGAAAATTTTGGAGTCTGGATTTCACTTCCAGAAATACTGATATAATTATTTTGGGGTGTGGACTGGGCATAGGAGTTTTGTTTTGTTTTGTTTTGCTTTGTTTTGAGATGGAGTCTCGCTCTGTTGCCCAGGCTGGAGTGCAGTTGCGCGATCTAGGCTCACTACAAGCTCTGCCTCCTGGGTTCACGCCATTCTCCTGCCTCAGCCTCCCGAGTAGCTGGGACTACAGGCATCCGCCACCACGCCCGGCTAATTTTTTGTATTTTTAGTAGAGACGGGGTTTCACCGTGTTATCCAGGATGGTCTCAATCTCCTGACCTCGTGATCCACCCGCCTCGGCCTCCCAAAGTGCTGGGATTACAGGCGTGAGCCACCGCGCCCGGTTGACTGGGCATAGGAGTTTTTAAAGCTTCCCAGGTGATTTTTATGTGCAGGTTAAGTTTGAGAGCCACTGCCACAGAGATAATAACAAGAATCAAATTAGCAAAGTGGTGACTAACTTGGTGTAATGAAAGAATGAAATAAAATACAATTACGTAAGGGTGAGCATTCCTAAAAAATAATGATTTTATATTTGAGCCCTAAAGTTTTATCCACAAGTCCTATCTGCTAATTCACAGGTAATCCAATTCGCAAGTAAGCAAATATCAGTAGATAGGTCTCAACTCCTAATCAAACCCCTTCCCTTCCTTTTTGTATCATGCTGTGACTGAAGAGAAATATGAACAGCGTATACAACCATTTCCTTTTTTTCCTCCTGAAGTGTATTAGACAGCAGAAGAGAAAAAGAAGAGTACAATACTTCAAAAGGGTCAGCACCATAATGTTCATCCTCTCCCCATGTTTCCTTCTAGCTTGGCCAGAAATCATTCACCCTACCAGTTGATGTTGCAGCTTCACTACCATCTTCATTTATCTCAAAGAAAACTTTTTGCGTCACTTGGGAAACATACACTTCAGATGAATCTGGTTAAAAAAAAATACACAAAAGTGTATTTAAGAGTTAAAATCAAAAGCCGTTACCTATTAGATCTCAATTAATTACATTTATTTATTTATTTATTTATTTATTTTTTGAGATGGAGTCTTGCTCTGTCACCCAGGCTGAAGTACACTGGCACGATCTCAGCTCACTGCAACCTCTGCCTCCCAGATTCAAACGATTCTACCATTCAGCCTCCCAAGTAGTTGGGATTATAGGCTCCTGCCACCACACCTGGCTAATTTTTGTATTTTTAGTAGAGGTGGGGTTTCGGCATGTTGGCCAGGTGGTCCCGAACTCCTGACCTCAGGTGATCCACCCGCCTTGGCCTCCCAAAGTTCTGGGATTACAGGTGTGAGCCACCACGCCCAGCATCATTAGATTTTCAAATGATCAAAGACAAGGAAACAAATAAATGAACTTTTTCCTATTTAGTCAATTTGCAACAGATAAAGGTGATTTATAGGTTTAGCTCTTCCAGAGATGACATATATACAGAGAGAGATCAAGTTTTTCTGTGATATAAAAGGTAAATGATGTAAGCCTCAAATCAGGTATCCAACTAAGTGAAATATTTGAAGGGACAGAGAGCTTTTCCTCCCTTAGCCATTGTCTATAGACAGAATGAAAGAGGCTTTCCAGATCTGAATTAATCCCACCCTGTATATTTAACCTCAAAGCCAAAGTGCCTTTTATATTCTGTATTTGGTTTTGATCGTAGTTTAAAATAAAATGTACTTGCCTTCAAATCTGGGGAAGCTATGAAATTCTAAGGAACTTCTGTGTCACCTGTTACAAAATCACTTCAGAGATACACTTTAAAACCTGTTAAAATTTTCAGCATAAGATCGTGCTTTACAACGTTTTGTTCTGGTGTGGATATGAGCTGAGAGTGAATGCTCCTTTTTCTCCCCTTGGTGGAACTGATGTATATGTGAAGCGTTTCTGGTAGAGTGAATTGCAAGTATAGTCTCCTCAAGAAGGAAGAAGTGAAACCCGGAGCCCAGAAGCCATGTCAAGCTGGCCTTGCAAGACAAGATAGATCTGACAATGTTCCTCAGAGGACAAAGGAAGCATGCTCTAGAAAACTGCCTGGCTCATAATTGGCTCGCAATAAATATTTGTAATATATAAGTCAATAATAAATAGGTCAATGCATCTGAGTATGTCTAGTGATAGAAACCTGTAAAGTGGAGAGAGATGGGCATCCACACTATTAGTGTGAATTAACTGAAATGCGAGAGAATTTCTCTCAAGGTCCGGCAAATAAGCACCTTCTTCTCCCAGGACTGCCTGGAAGAAGACAAATAAACACAGAGGGAATGACCTAGTGGCCCACACCAAGAGGAAAGACCAAAAAGCAGGTTAGGAAGGAGTGAAGAATTTCACCCAGTTTAGCAATGGCACCAGCCCAAATGACTCCCTGGCTATTAGACTAATCCACTTAGTCTCCTTTGTTCCATCTCACTGCAGAGAAAGCCCAGTCTTAGGAAAAGAACAGGCCCTGAAATATGATAGGTTAGAAGTAAGAATGTGGACTCTACAAACTCATTCATTATACCTTCATAGTCATTATTTCTCTTAATTTTTAAATGAAAATTCTAAGTACATTGTTATTAAATTAAGAGAACAAGAAAACAATACGTTTGCTAGATGTGCAAGTAATATTAATGTGATACTTTTCCCACTTGCTGTTTTATATTTAACTATGTGCCAAATGTTAAACTAGATGATTTACATACATTCTTTTATTTATTTCCCCAGTCACTATATTATCTCACTTAACAGATTAGAATGCTTACACTCAGAAAGGTTAAATATTTTACTACAGGTTACACAAGGAGTAGTAACTGAGTGAGAAGTCAAATATTTTTCTAACAGTTTCCAAAATAACTCTATAAAAACATTTCATTCAAAACTTGTGAACTATATAAATATAAGGTAGTGTCCCTTTCACACAGATGTCCCATAAGACTAGTGTTGGGCTGCTTCATAGTAGCCTTTAGTGAATGTTTATTGTACAAATGATAAGTAGAGATAGCAGAGAATTTACTGTGCTCCTAGCTACCAGCAGGGGTATCAGCATTGGCTATGACTATTCTATTCTAGGCAATAAGACGGAACCAAAATGGTTAAAACAGCTCAAATAGGTAACTCAAGAGGGAAAGAACAGAAGATGCTGGACATTTATTCTTTTCTGCACTGGGTCATTTTCTTGAATAAAGTCTTTTATGAAACATTTTGGAAGTATTTTCTTTAAAAATCTGCCTGTAACAGGAGATTTTTTAGAAGTCACAAATTGCTGGGAATTTGCAGAACAAGTGGCTGTTTGAAGTGTCTGAGGCATATTGAGTGATCTCCCTATGGCCAGAAAGAAGTTTAAGAAAAGGAAGTGCATGAAAAATAGTTTGGATTATTGAAGGTTGAAGAGGTGGTTGTGTCTCAGGGCACACTTACAGAGCATCCTGTTGCAGTATTTAATGTTGACCATCTCATACCTAGTGCGGACAAAATTGTCAGAGAAGTCAGATCTATCTGTCAGTGTGAGAACGAGTAGCTACACCGTGTGTGAAGGTGATAATGAACATTTTGATATTTGTGACCTCATTCACCTCCTCCACCAGGAAAGTTTTTCATTCTGTTCATTTGCCCATATAATTGATGGGTGATGACTAAATTAACAACACGTTTCCAAAGCCCAGATACCTATATAGAAATAAATACATAAAACATTTCTGCACTATTTCATGTTATGATTTACAACCCCATCAGACAGACAAGCTTAGGCCCATTTTTATAGAACAGAAGACTGAATTTAAAAGAGGGTAAGTAACTTGGGACAAACTGGCTCTCTTCATCCATTTTTTTAGCGAGTTATTTTTGAACTAGTGTGTACCACTGAGACTCGAAGAATTCAAAGACTATCTTGGCTTTGTTGTACAAGTGAACGTGTTAACCATGCAGGATTCCCCTGATGCGAGTTAGCATAAGAGCTCCATCTTATCTTCTCAGATATGTTGTCAGCCCAAAAGACTCTGTTGCTAAATCTGCAAGCTGTAGCGTTACAATTTCTTGATTGTGTTCATCATCCAGCAGCTTATGGATGACTATTTCATGTGTTCTCATATTAGTGAATTAACATTTGCAAATTGGTTTATAAGAGTTGTATTAGCTCTGCTTAGATGAGAGACTCAAAGTTGTAATTCCCATTATTCAGATGAGGAGATCCAAACAGGGCAGAAATAAAAACCCATATAATACTTTTACTTATGTAGTTTTATTAGAAGTATAGCCAGAGTGCTTATCTAACATTCTAAAATGCTTTTTGACTTTCATTAAGAAAAACTACTTAAACATAAAGTGCTTGTTTACAGACAGCTCAACATGACTATGACATTTATTCACTGTGCGTATATTTATCAGAGCTGAATGCTCTTTCAGTTTTAAGCTCAGCTAGTTAATGTAGTCCTAACAAAACAAATTAACATCATAATATAAGAATTATTTATCATACTACCTGTTATTCCAGAAAGGTCGCAGCCACCACTAAATATCTCGGTTATGTTCAAAGAATACAAAACGTCTTTGAAGTCTACTTTTTGTTCTACTTTAAATCTGTTATTAAAAAAAAAAGAAAAAGAAAAGTCTTGAAACACTGCACATTTTTGCTACCAATTTTTTAATGGATGACTTAGAGGATAATATATTGTAAAATCTTTTGTTTTTATTATCTCAATTACATTTTCTCACATTTCACACCATTTTCCCCGGCTCCAACAATCAGCTCTGGGTTGCCAATAACTTGCTTCCCAGATAAATGGTTGGAGGAAAGAGGGAACAGAAATTGCATTTTTTTTTGAAGTAACAATTACCCAACAAAACTCGGTGAGAATTCTAAGTTCTATCTAAGGTCTCAATTGCTTGGCTTCTTTCTAACAAGTCTAAAATTTCCCTCTTATGTATTCAAGATTTTTACACCATCAAAGATGGTTCCTGGCAGATGCCCATGACATGATGAGCAGGGAACAGGAGTCCACAGTCCTTGGAGAAGATTGTTAGCTATTAAGGAAGAGAGAAATATTTATAACCCATCATTCATCTCGCCCATTGTCACAGTCAATGAGATGTTCTTTAGTGTATGGACAGGCCTAATATCTTTTAAATAGGCCCTATAAAAGGATAAAGGAAGGGGAACCAGATTTCTTTCAAAGGAAATAAAAGACAAAAATTACAGGAGTGGGGGGGGGTGGGCAAAAAAAAAAGGAGGTAGCCACTGCTTCCAACACTGAGCCGTAAGTTAGGAGACTAGTGTCTGGCTCACCTGTCTGTGCCTTAATTTGCCTCACCTGTGAAAAGGGAACTTAACCAGATAATCCCAAAAGATTTTCTCAGCCACTGATCTTCCACGATTCCAAGTCAAAAGCAATCACTGAACCTCACTTTCCCATTTAAATAAAAGTGGGGGTGGGGGGAAGCTAGTACTTATTGACTTCATAGATGCTTAAAGCATTAATTTGCATTTTAAATACAGATCAGAAACTTTGTTTATGAAAGAAAAGACACATGTAATAATCTTAAACAGGGAGCTATATATATTTCCTACATCAGCAAAATTCCAGGCAATTCCCAATGAGGGGCTTTGTCTATGCCCTCTGGGCATTGACCCCTGTGCTCCCCAGTTAGAATGCATACGCTAGTGCTCAAGGATCCTTGTTCATTCAGCAGGTAGGCCCACATCTGGAGCTAGAAATTAGGTGGGGCAATCAGTCTAATTAGATCATTGTTTTAATTGGAAATACTGAATGAGCTTCTTAATTATAATTCTCCAAAGCAATGAACATGCTGTGGCAGAACTCTACTGGGACTAAATTATTTCTTGGTAAAACAATATGTTTTTTTGGAAGATGGTAACTCATTCAGAACCCTATCTACCTGGGAATGGACACAACATGCACATTAAAATCAGCTGATAAAGAAAATAGCTCATTCTATGCCAACTGCTTTCACCCTCTTCCTTGTAACTTCCTACTAAGAAAGATAATATGCAGCATGATGGTTTGGGAGGTTGGCTTTTTTCCTGTTTTTATTACCACAGTCTTTAAACTGAATGGAGTATGGGCTTTTAAAGGGTGGAGAATATATGTTCTAATCTACCTATAAATGGGCTATAATAGTCCAATAATTTTAGGATAATGACAAAAATACTGCAAGACTTATTACAACTTCTAATAATGCCTAATTATCACTGGAGAGTCATTTAAGTAACAGTCCTGCTCATAATATAGTCCAATGAAACCTACAGCAATAAAAACACATTCAGCCATCTAATGAATGTATAATCTACAGCCAATTCCTAATTATCCATAATTATTGGAGCCATGAATAGCCAGGTGTGAAGAAGCACTGCCATGTGTTAGGTACTTAAGATAAATTATAGTTTTTAATCTTTAGAAAAATCTAAGGAAGTCGGCATTATTTCCATTAACGTATAAGAAAATAGAAGCCTGAGGAGGTTAATTTTCAGGCTTAAGGTTAAGGTAGGTTCCAGAGGTATGATTTAAACTCAGGTCTATTTGAAGTCAAAGCTAATGTGCTAACTGCCACTACTTTCTAATCAAAATGTAATTCAACACCACCATATTGGTCAATATATATAATGTCCCTCTTCCAAAGTTTATGAGTCTTCATATTTCTCCCAGTTGTGGTTCATTTTCCCTTTTCCTTAATCCTCCTCTAAAATTGTCAAAAGAACAGCAGGCAAAAGTAGAAGAATGAGCAGCAAAATGCTAGATAAACAATTAGCAACTAAATCATGAATGGAATTTTTAGCATATGCAAATAATATCTATTTGTTTAAAAGAGAGTAATTCACTCCCAAATGTAACCATTGTGCTGAAACAGATCTCACAAAGGGAAAAGCTGCAGAAAAATGAAAAACAATCCCAATTTTTGTTTTAAGAATGACCTACTTCTGGCCTCCAGGCCCTGTTGGGGAATGGTATTGGCCCTTCCTTTCCCCTTATCCCCAGAGTTCTTGTTTAATGAAAAAAAGTCTTGGATCAATTTCCCTCTGGGTTTGTGTTATCATCTGAAATCCCAGCTTTGGTACAGTGGGCTTGAATCATTCTTGGTGTATTAGGCTATTCTCACACTGCTATAAAGAAATACGAGTCTCAAAAAAAAAAAAAGAAAAGAAAAGAAAAGAAAAGAAAAAAGAAATACCTGAGACTGGGTAATTTATAAAGAAAAGAAGTTTAATTGGTTCACAGTTCCAAAGGCTGTACAGGGAGCATGATGCTGGCATTTGTTGGTTACCAGGGAGGTATCAGGAAACTTACAATCATGGCTGAAGGCAAAGAGGAATGGGCACATCTTACATGGCTGGAATAGGAGGAAGAGAAACAGGGGGCAGGGGCTACACACTTTTGAACAACCAAATCTCGTGAGAACTCTACGATGAGCACAGCACTGAAGGGGGAAATTTGCCCCCATGATCCCATCACTTTCCACCAGGCCCCATCTCCAACACTGGGGATTGCAATTTGACATGAGATTTGGGTGGGGACATAAATCCAAACCATATCACTTGTACTGTTCAGAGCTGGAACCAACCAAACCAAATCTTAGGGTTGCTCATGAGGAGAAAAATACAACACAATCTTTGACAATGGTGGCCCTAGATGGTTATGTGAGTACACAGTAAATTCTGGTCACTTTCCAATCAATTACCTCTGTGTGTGTGTGTGTGTGTGTGTGTGTGTGTGTGTGTGTAAAATAATTAAAATACTCTATTAACGTCACAGGCTGAATTTAAAATACTTTCACATATGAAACATCTGGATAATGTTTAATGTATGCCTAGTATTCCCATTTTTATCCATGTCCAATAGGTCAAAGTAAACGAACATTTTGTAATCACTACTGCAGCTGGTCACAACGTATCTATTCTCATATCCAGTCTCATTTTCCTTGCCTTCCTGCCACCCACACACAATTTACATTCACCCACTTATAGATCCAAGGCTGGCCAAGCCTAGAATTAATTTCTAGCCAGCAAAAAGATGATCATTTATGTCCTGTGGTAAGTGTTACATCTTTTGAAAAGTCTCCTTGGTACGGCTACTCCAGATCTCTCATCCTACTGCTCACCCTATCACTGACTGTTTGTTCTGTTCTGTGCTCCCTCTCTTGCTTGCCCTACAGTCACCTGTTTTCAGACGTCTGGCTGACCTCTTCTAGTATTGGCTCAGCCATTAATTAGCTGTGTGACCATAGGCAAGGTATTTACCTGTCTCCATCTTGTCTGTAACCTTAATGTAAAACTAGACCTTCATCAAATTGATTGAGGAATTTAATGCGATATGATGGGGGGCCACCTATTACAATGTTGGCATTATAATATATGGCCACTGTTAGAATTAAATGAGTAATAATACAAATAATATTTAGCTAATATTGAGCACTAAAAATTGTATACACATTATCTCATGGAATCCTCACAACACTAAGAGGCATGTGTTATCATTACTGCATTTAACAGTATAAGAAAAATCTTAGAAAAGTAATTTGCTTAAAGTTATATAGTAAGAAAGTGGCAGGGCTCTGGGTCTTCAATATTATTTTCAGTAATCTGGTTTCAACAATTGACAAAAGGTACTGTGAGGTGCCACATCAGTCAATATTTTTAAAGAATGATATCTCTCACAAAGACTATGGCTATTATTAAGATAATACTATACTTTTGAATAGAACTGTAGTGCTTAACAAGTTTAAAGGCCGAGATTTCCAAAAATTCAGTGAGAACTATAAAGCCTCTCCCAAGGAAAATACATGCATAACCTTACATGCATAAACTTGCAAATAATTTCAGGGCTTCAAGGACCCTTGGAAGTATATCCTAGACCTCTCTAGAAGTCCATGGTGCCCAGGTAAGGACTACTACAAAACAGCAAGAATTCACAGCCCTCTTGTTTTCTAGTAAGTTGAGCCTGGAACCCCCAAACAACCTATTTCTTCTTAACCCATATCTAGTTAGTCACACATTTCAATAATTTCACCAGTTCCTTACTATTCCCAGTGAGGCTGCTCCCTTTAAACACTCTTTACTTAATGTCCGAGTTGTTGCAGTGGTTTTTTAACTGATCTTTTAGGCTTTAGTCTTTCCCTCTTTAACAAATCCAGGTTATTACCACTACTCAGTTTAAAGCAACAAATCCTCATTGAATAGCTACTATTTTTTATATACATGCTTTTTGCTGCAGTCACAGAGAGGAAACATGCCTAGCTCTTCACCTCAAGTAGCTTATGGGTCAGAGGGGAAGATAAACAATTCATTTTAATATAACTGCTATGCAGAAATAAACACAAGGTACTAGAACTTTCCCAATGGGGAGAAGGGAAGATGCTTGTATGATATTGCATGGAGAGATCAGAAAGGCTTTCTAAAACCCAAACTTAATTTTAAGGACAAATAGAAGTTTTATAGAAAAATAGGAACCGTTGGCAGGGGTGGGGGATAAATGAGGAAGAGGGAAATTTTTCAGACAAGTTATCCAGGGTGAACAATTCTGACTACTACATAGATCTTTCTAAAACACTGACTTAATCATTTCATTGTCTTACTTGGACATATTCAACAATTCTTCATTGCATATAGGATTTATTCTTCAACTCTTTTAAAACCCAACTCAAGTCCTTCTTTCATGAAGCCTTTGTTTACAATTCATTTCCTGTGCACTCTCCGTTTTTGTGAACCTTCTAATGCTTACTTATACGATTCTTTTAGTACTTACTGTACATTGCTGTGTAGTCTTAGTGAATTTCTTTCTTTTTTTTTTTTTTTTTTTTTTTGAGACGGAGTCTCACTCTGTCGCCCAGGCTGGAGTGCAGTGGCATGATCTGGGCTCTCTGCAAGCTCCGCCTCCCAGGTTCACGCCATTTTCCTGCCTCAGCCTCCCGAGTAGCTGGGACTACAGGCGCCTGCCACCACGCCTGGCTAATTGTTTGTATTTTTTTTTTTTTTTTTAGTAGAGACGGGGTTTAACGGTGTGAGCCAGGATGGTCTCGATCTCCTGACCTCGTGATCTGCCCACCTCGGCCTCCTAAAGTGCCGGGTCTACAGGCGTGAGCCACCGCTCCCGGCTGTCTTAGTGAATTTCTTGCACAAATCTTGTACTATTCCATTTTATCAATAGGTGGTAACCATCTTATCAATAAGGAACCTATTGCTTTACATCTGTCCCAGCCTCTTGCCCACAGTAGAATCCCAATCAATGTTTTTGAACAGGAAATACACTTTCTAATAAGTATCAAACTAATAAGGCTGTGACCCAATAGACACGAGAGCTGATCCTTCTCTGTCAATACTCATTGAATGGCAATCAATTTATCTTCTCAGTGCCTCAGTTTTCTTATCTGTGAAATGGGAGAATAACTAAGTCAGATGATAAAATCACAACATTTGCTATTAAAATATAAATGCTAACACTTCACAAAGTTAAAAGTTACTTGTTTATTTACCTTATGTGTATTAAATTATCATTTTTGCCCATACACACAGTTTTTATACTATATTTTCAGAATGATTCTTCTACAGAGAAGAATCTGGCGGCGTATAGCAATTATGTTTTAGATTCTTCAACCAAAGGAAGTTTTTTTTTGTTTTTTTTTTTTTTGAGACGGAGTCTCGCTCTGTCGCCCAGGCTGGAGTGCAGTGGCGGGATCTCGGCTCACTGCAAGCTCCGCCTCCCGGGTTCACGCCATTCTCCTGCCTCAGCCTCCCGAGTAGCTGGGACTACAGGCGCCCGCCACTATGCCCGGCTAATTTTTTGTATTTTTAGTAGAGACGGGGTTTCACCGTTTTAGCCGGGATGGTCTCGATCTCCTGACCTCGTGATCCGCCCGCCTCAGCCTCCCAAAGTGCTGGGACTACAGGCGTGAGCCACCGCGCCCGGCCCCAAAGGAAGTTTTATTACTAAAATATTTAAAGGATCTCATACTACATTTAGACAAAGTAATATGATTATTTTAGCTAACATTCAACTGCAGGATGATGTCCAAAATTATATATCTAGTATATTACAGATAATAAATAATGGGAAGCACTCGAGTATTTTGAGATGATATCTTATTGGCCTCAATTCTAAACTAGATATACACAAAAGAGGGAAAGGAGAAGTATTTCTTAAGCAGTAACTATAATCTAAATAGTCACTCACATGCTCCTTTCTACTGTAGCTTAAATATAAACATTCTTATGGGTGGTTTTTTTTTTTTTTTGGCATATACTAACTTTGCTACCAAAGAGATATTTTACAACAATATAGAATTTATTACAGTTGGTGTTATGGGTTGAATTGTGCATACCCCCTTTCCCAAATTCATGTGTTGAAGCCCTAACCCCCAGTATCTTTTAATGTCACCTTACTTGGAAATAGGAATGGGCCTTAATCCAATATGATCGGTGTCCTTATAAGATATGAGAACACCACACGAAGACAGATGGCTACATGACAACAGAAGAAATAATTGGAGTGATTTATCTATAAGGAGAGGAAGACCAAGGACTTCCAGCCACTATCGGAAGGTAGGAAGAGGCAAGGAAGGATTCTCCTAACGGTCTCAGTGAGAGCATGTTGTGCTGACACCTTGATTTTGACATTTAGCCTCCAGACTGTGAGAGAATCAATTTCTGTTGTTCTAAGTCACCTACTCTGTTGTGTTGTGCTGTTATAGCAGCTCTAGGAAATTAATGAAGTTGATTAAGCTGTTCCAATTTTATCAAAATACTTAGTTATCAGTTTGAAAACCATTTCACATTTATTCAGATGTAAAAGAACCACCGCATTCAGTAATAAAATATAAATCTGCCAGTCTACCCCAAACATTTATTGAGCCTACGTTGTTTTCTCTCTTCTCTACCAAACACATATTTTAAACGGGTATTTTTCTGTTGTGAAGAAATTGTTCCTTTTGGGAGAAATGTATTTCAGAACTTTTAATCCATGATTTTGGTGCTCAGGAAACTTAATTCATAAACAGGTTCTGATAAGTTAAAATTGTTAATGAACTAAATACATAAGCAAATTGTTCCTTTAACAAATCAGAAGACATTAATTTAGTAAAAAAGTGAATGCATTTTACATGTAATGCTGTATTAGTGTGATTAAACAATAACAAATTTCTGTCCTCTGAATTTAGAAAGAAAAAAATCTCACTTTTCCTTCTCTAGAGAGAAGTTTTGAAGTAAATGGCTAATGTCCTATTTTTCATGATGCTATATGTATGGAAAGGTGGGAAAGCTTCATCAGGGTCCTCAAAGAGAATAAATTAGAGTGACCGGAAAGTTGAATTCTGGTTTTTAAGATATTTAAAATTAAATAAAGAGAAATAATATAGAATTTCTTTCCTTGAAAATATTTGTGTAATTTAATTCAATAATACTCATTTAGCACATACTATATACCATGAAGCATGCTAGGAACAACAGAAACTAAAATGAGCAAGACCTAACCCGCTGTCCCAGAAATCACATTTTAATAGGACAGACAGGAATGTGAGCAAGAAATAAAAGTGCAATGTAATAAGTGCTATGATGTGAATTTTCCTGAAGTGTTCTAGAAATATAGATAAGGATTGGTTCACTCTAACTAGGTATGTTTGAGTGCAATAACTTCAAGGGAAACCATGGAGGATTAATGGGAACTTATTGGTCAGACACCACAGAGAAGGGCCTGCCACACAGAAGAGAAAGGAGTGGAGTCTGAGAATTCAGAGAAGACAATGTTTCTAGTTTGGTATTGACTGGGCAGTGATCTTTTTAACAAAAAAAAATAAAATAAAGCCGTCATTTATTTAGCACCTTTTAGTTGCCAGACTTTGTGCTATGAATAGAAGTATGTAATGAGATACTGTAACTGAAACTGCCAAGTTTTTAAATATCATTGGTGGCTGGAATTTGTATGGAAATGGGGAATACAACTGCCAACTATTGTTTTTGTTTCTATAAAAACGAAGATTCAAATTCAGCTTTTAAGGCAAATTGTTCTTTTGTTTAGGGAAAGCAATACAATGGGCTTTTTCATTTTGCAAGTAGAACCAGTGGGATGGAGATGGGGAAGTTTGAGATGACGAGGGCGTAAGCTATTTTATATGATATGAAAACATTGTTTTCACTGAAGTCTCCTGCTATAGATGCTTTTTTTTTTTTTGGAGATAGGGTCTCGCTTTGCTGCCCAGGCTGGAGTGCAGTGGCAGGATCACAGCTCACTGAAGCCTTGAACACATGGGCTCAAGTGATCCTCCTGCCTTATCCTCCACGGTAGCTGGGACTACAGGCACACACCACCGTGTCCAACTAATGTTTTTTTATTTTTTTTATTTTCTAAAGACAGGGTCTTTCTTTGTTGCTCCTGCTGGTCTTGAACTCCTGGGCTCAGGAGATCCTCCTGCCTTGGCCCCCCAAAGTGCTGGGATTACAGGCATAAGCCACATCTGGCAACTATAGATTCTTGTCACAACTGGGAAGCTGGCCTTAGAGAGCATGGAAGAAAATCTGGGTCACCTTCTCTTTATACTGGGAAATGTTGGAGGACTCTGAATGCTGAATAGGAGGGAGGTGTAAAGATAACTCTTTTAGGTGAAGGTGGGTGCTAGCACTGTTGCAATGGTAGGCTAAGTATAACAACGGACAGAAGGAGACTATTTGGTACAAGAAATAGTCTACACTCAAGGAACTATCATAATTGGTACCTGGTTTTAAATTACTTGCTATGTTGTAAGTCCCTTTCACTATCACCAAGATTTCAGTAAAATTTGCTTAAACATTGAAGTTGTTCTTGTATTAGTTTGCTAGGGCTGCCATAACAAAGTACTACAAACTGGGTATCTTAAATAACAAATAGATTGTCTCACAGTTGCAGAGGCTAGAGGTCTTAAATCAAGATGTCAGCAGTGCTGGATTCTTCAGAAGGCCGTGAGGGAAAAATTTGTTCTATGCCTCTCTTGTTGATTTGTAGATGGCCATTTTTTTCCCTGTGTCTCTTCACATCATCTTCCCTCCATGCATATCTCTGTCTAAATTTTCCTTTTTAGATGACAACAGTCATGTTGGATTAGAGCCCGGCCTAATGACCTAACTTTCATTACTCTGTAAAAATCTTGTCTCCAAATAAGGCAACATTCTGAGTTACTGGTTAGAACTTCACCATATGAATTTGGGTGGGGGGATGCAATTCAACCCATAACAGTTGTGCTTGGAAGAATTAAGAGAGAAGTCTGTGTCTACACTGTGGGGGTAGTATGGGAAGTGTGGAGTGTGGCCCTGGAGTGGAGATGCTGATAACAAGGCCAAACGTTCAAAGTTGTCTACACTGTGGGAATAGTTGTATGGGAAGTGTGGCCCTAGAGTGGAGATGCTGAGAATAAGGCCAAACAGTTCAAAGTTGTCTACACTGTGACAGCTTGGACAGATTTTTGGACTGTGAAACATTCCTCTAAGGATTCCTAAAAATGCTGTCAAAGGAAATTCTGGTGAAAGCCTGTATTTCTTCCTGTCAATTGAGGTTGGGGCTTATGCATTATTATTTAGACTGAAAAATCTAGCAATAAGTATCATTATCCACATTTTATATTGATAAAACCACAACTCAAAATGGTCAAGTGACTCTCCTGAGACCCCACTGGTGGTACATGTCACAGACAGTTTTCAAACTCAGTAATTTTTTTTTTTTGTCTCCAAGAAAGTGATCATTTCAAAGCTAGGAGAAGTAAATTTGAAAATAAACAATTTAATTTCAAAAAATATTATTTCATTATTAGAAGGTAAACCATCTGTCATACACACCATTATACCCCAGTGTTTGGCATAGTAGGTGCTAAAAAAAATATTCTTTGAAAAAAAGAATAATATCAAGTAGAGATATTCAAATGGCTGGGAAATGAAAGAGAAGTTGGGGTTAGAGACTCAGATTTTAAAAACCAGAATAACAGGGATATTTCTGAGAGAGAGTAAGAGGAGGAAAATTCTGAAGATGAAACTCTGATAAACATTTTTGCTTGGGAACAGAAACAAAATAGAAGTAAGTCAAGGAGCAGGAAAAATTTCCAGAAAGAGAGAAAGAAATAAGTCAGTAGTGTCCTGGGGACTAAAGGAAGAAAGCTTTTCCAGAAAAAAAGGGATGGTTAATAATACTTTGATCAAGATCCCAGAGTTAGGATGAGAGAAGTAGAGGATACTTCTTTCTCCACAATATCAAAGAAGGTAAAGAAAGAGAAGATTAATAAAGATTTACATAAATTTTGAGGTGATTTCTATAAATAGAGAGGAGAAAGTTTACCTGATGATAGGTTTTCTTTACGATATAGAAGACTGGCACACTTGTTGGAAGTAAGAGAAATCAACCTAGAGTAGTAAGTGAAGGAGAGAAGTAATGTCCTGGTATGGTGTGGGTAGGAGTAAAGAAGGTTCTCTAGAGTAAGGAAGGAGTGCTGAGCTCTAGTCTCGGTAAAGCCAGAGGTGACTCCTTTCCAGGTTTTTGCTCCAACAAAATCAACAGTTGCAGTAGTTGCAGTAGTTGAAGAACAGGAGTGGCTTTTTTTTTTTTTTTTTTTTTGGATACTGGGTCTCACCCTGTTGCCAGGCTGGAGTGCAGTGGCGCAGTCTCAGCTCACTGCAAACCTCTACCTCCCAGGTTCAACTGATTCTCTTGCCTCAGCCTCCCAAGTAGCTGGGATTACAGGCACCTGCCACCATGCCCAGCTAATTTTGGTGTTTTTAGTAAAGACAGAATTTCACCACATTAGCCAGTCTGGACTCGAACTCCTGACCTCAGATGATCTGCCCGCCTCAGCCTCCCAAAGTGCTGTGATTACAGTCATGAGCCACCATGCCTGGCCAGGAGTGGCTTGTTGAGTGGACTCAGAATTGAGGATAGTTGAGAAGAGAATTAGGAAAGGGATAAAGGAGACAAAAACATTAAAAATGTTAATGAGACTATGACTGAAATAACTAATGACTAGATCCTGGCTGAGTGGAAAAGGAAGTAAAAACCAAGAGGTTTAAGAGACCAATGGCCAGAAACAGGGGAGCACAAAACAGTTGGGGCTTGATGAGTTTGAAAGGAAATTTAGAAATAAAACGACAGTATATAATCTATTACACATAAATCTCTTTTTATAAGTTTGGGTAGAGTGTGAATTGAGTCATTTGGGCACACCTTTCTTTTTGAAGTTTCTTCTGTCCCTTAGGAGCATGATGTTAAAAATTTAGTTCATAATTATTGCTTCCTGAGATAACCCTTTCAATTTCCATTTTGTACTAACTACCTAAAATTGACTATAGGATTCTGTTTATAATTCAATGATTGTTAGAGCACTGTCCGTCAAAGTGATATAACATATCTTTCAATTGTGTAAAACATACCATTATAATTATTTTTTTCTTAATAAGAGATAAATATTAAAAATTCCAGTCAGGAAAAAAGTGGAGAAAATTAGCATAATAAAAAGACAATAATTCCTTCTAATCCCAACATTCTAATTTTAAGACATATACTTATCTTTTACAGAGAAAACTAAGCACTTAAATTCAGTTCTTCTCATGGTAAAGCAATGCTAGCACAGGTAAGCCCTGCTTTAGTATCCAAAAGTAGAGTAAAATTTCCAAATACATTTGTATTTTCATTTGTGTCAATAGACTTTTCAAGTATTTGTTACCTTTCAGCTGACTGCTCAAATTCCTATGTGAGTGGAAACGTAAGAACTCGTATAATAAAATAACATCACCAACCTAGGGAGGCTTATTTCTACTTCCTCTTCTTGCATCTCAGAGAGCCATTTTAGGATTTGTTGAGCAGTAATTAGTTTTTCCACTTCTTCTATATCCATACCTTCTGCAGGAAGTATGATAATTAAGCTAAATTCATCACCTTTGTAAGACAATTCTAAAACTTGGTAGTTCAGGGAAGATTCAGAAAAATAACCTGGAATAGACAAAATAAAATATCAAATATACTTGGCAATTCTCAAGACTATGCTTAGGAACTGTGGTTTCTCACATTACCATATTTTGTTCTCAGAAGAGCCTTCATCATTGGAATTTTGACAGTTGAACCATTTTTCTTAGTAAAATTTATCAGCTGTGTGTCCTCTTTTCTGAATTTCTGTTTCCAATCTCCTTTGAAATAAATAGCATTCACCAGGACAAGCCGAGTCAGAGGGCCAAATTCTTCCCCTGAAAACATGTCTTTAATTTTTCCTAGGAAGTGGGTGGAGGAGGAGGTAAGAAGAAATGTGCAATAGTGATTCAGTGGAATTGCTTTGAATAGAATTAAAGCAAAAGTGTCTTTTGCAGATCAGTTTTGGATAGGGCATGTTATCATCTAAATATGGTAATTTTGAGAATAGACGGGATTGCTGTTAAATATTTCATGAAGAAACAGGTGCAAATGGAATTTCACTACGAAATTAGAAATATGAGACTGTTTTAGGCAAACTCAGATATACCTA
The DNA here is from genome assembly GCF_000001405.40 of Homo sapiens. Lineage (NCBI taxonomy): Eukaryota > Metazoa > Chordata > Mammalia > Primates > Hominidae > Homo > Homo sapiens. The sequence continues at coordinate 167,465,925 of NC_000003.12, forward strand.
GACTCTCCAATAAGATCATTTGTAACCATTGTATGTCAGACATAAAGAATAAAAATATTACTTCTTCCATATTTACTGGTATTATTCCATCTATTTCAAGGTCTTCTAAAATGTCAGTCATCATAAGTAAGTTAATGGTACACCCAAACTTGCCATTCTGACAGCTGTGTCCACTGACCATTGGAAAGGGAAAAGAATGGAGGATACTAGTATGATCCTTTTCCTCCAAATAACTGGTCTCCTATTTCTATGTCCAGTGAGTTTTTCCAAGTTATGAGAAATAGGCATGACTGGGTGCCATGGAGCTGTCTAGTGATGTCCTCATTTCCTACAGCTGTGAACATGGCTCACCACGCTTATCTCACACTTTCAACTTATGCTTCCCCATATAAGGCTTCCTATAAGGCATATGTCTTATAACATCACATTTTTCATAGCTGATTAAATAAAGAAACAAAGTACTATTAATTGAGGGCTTGGTATATGCTTGTCACTTCACATACATTATTATTAAAACTCCAAAGAATTCTGAAATGTTTTAATAATATCCTCATTTTAAATGGAGCATAGCTTATAACTTTCTAAGATTTCAACTCAGATTTATATGAATTTGAATTTACTATATCCCTCTGTAGTCAACTATGAAATTTTTTGCTAGCTTGCATTTAAAGTGTAGACTACCATGTTTATGATAGAAATATTAACATTTATTATTAAATATTAACACATTCAACTAAAATATGATAATCATTTTCAGCATCTGTGGGAAAGAAGGCATTTGGGATTGACAGATTTAACTTCTACCTGGCCAAAGAGATTATTTCTGCTTTTATGCCTGAAAAATCTATGTTTTAACAAAAATTATTATTAAAATTATTTCATTAAAAATTCTATAAGCAGGTATCTCTCAAAAGAAAATAAAAGAATCAGTATTCTTTTCAAAGCAGCTTATAATTTCTTTCCAGTTTTACAATTTAATATTAATTTAAATAACTATGAAATGAAATAGGATATTTGATTCCTCTGATCCATACTGCAGTAGGAAAATATTCAGCCATTCTTTACTTTAGGATATTAAAAACCATGAATACAATGGCAAATAATAATTTTATGAAAATGGGAAACTTTACCATCTGTTTTTCTTTCTACCCAGGTACTTATCATCTCTGCACAAGCCTTTGCATCTTGAAAATCCACCAGTTTTATAGCACTCTGAAAAAATTCCTTGTTGCCATGGAGATACTGTTCTTTCACAGTGAATCCTTCTTGAAGGTAGAGGGCATTGGCAAGATTAAATGTAAATTCTTGTTTTTTCTCTGAGATGGCAGAGAAAAATGACTTCAGTACAAAAAATTCTTCCCCTAGAAAATAATTTTAATGTATATTGGCATATTGAACAACATAAAAACAACAGCTTTTCAGCTTTGCTATCTAAGTACTCTGATTCATATCACCGTTTTTTGCACCCTTAGGTATAACTAACAATCCCTTCAAAGTTAGTATAAATATTTTAAGGATGTATCTCCTGTAGAATATGCATTTTGTAGAGAAATCATCTTTTATATAGAAAAAAGAATGTCCATGCAAATTTGAAATTTGTCAAAAAAAAGAATATGCATTTATAGAAGCTGAAGGAAAGTCCCTCTTGATAGTCACATTTAGCGCATTTTTAGTTATTGAAATTTATGTTTAGAATCTTATTTGCATAACGTGAGCATGTGATACCTATGAAAAGGGAATGCTAATGAATGCTGATGGGGGCATGACAGTGATGAGCAATCCTTTTCAATATTACTTTTATTTCAGCTGAAGAAAAAATTGTTCTCTTATAAGCAACTGCACCTGTACAGGTTTTAAATTTTACAAGGCAACCTCTGTAATCATCTCTAGAGATGCGTAAGAATCAGAATTGCCTATTTCTACAAGTTCATGAATTTATATACTTTGGCTGTCGACATCAACAATAAAAATCTTTAACCATTTTAACTCTAACCACTAGCCAAAATAAGTCAGTCAGGGTCAACTAAAAGAATCACTTTCGGCCTATTATTTATTTTTGGACTGTTCTGACTGTAGTGTTGTCTGGAAGCTATATATGCGTATGAGAGAACTCTACCCTGATATTAGGTTCAATAGCTTCCTGTTCATTGCAAAAGTGTACCAACAGTTTTCATTTCCTTCTGGCTTAATCTTAGAACTCAATCATTAAGTCTTGTAACTCTATTTCAAATAGGTTCTTTCTGGGCCTTCATTATATTTTCAGTTAAATACTGCAAATGCCACTTTCATAACCTAAAATTGATATATTCAATTAATCTTTATTCAAGAAAACCGGGTATTACTAAGAGGGACTTACTACTAGATTTCTACTGGAAATAAGGAGGATGTGTGTGTGTGTGTACCTAAGCTTGTGTAAATACATTTTTTTTTTTAAATCAGAAAGCTAGCAGCCCATAGGTCATCTTTGTGCAAATAAAAATAGTTCCCTCTCTGGGGGCTGGGCAGCTCCATGGCCTCTCATCTTGTCCAGCTGGGTTACAGAGGCTACATTTCAGTCCCTACTTGCCTTTTTGGCCTGGCGTTCTCACAGCCTCACAGGAGGCTCTATGAAGTATACTGCATTATATTTCAAACTCCAGGATTCTCTGTTCACTGGTATATAGATACAGGTATAAACAATTTCAGATATAAAAAAAACTTACTTCCATATGATTAGATCTGAAGAATTTCAGTAATTCTTTATAACCCTGAAATTCCTTACATAAGGAAGGGAAGAAAGTTAAGCCATTTTACTTATTTGTACAATGATTTCAGATGTAACCATTTATTGCTATCTGAAGCCTGAAACAAATATCTCAATAGCTGGGAGGCTACAGAAAAGGCTTTCTGAGTAAAGACACGAGAGCTTTTCCAAAAGAATTAATTAAGGTCAGAAATGAAGTGACAGAATCTGAAACTAATTTTCAGAAATCTGAAATACATGAACATCTTTAAAGGAATAAAAAAAGAGAGAAAGGGAGAAAAAGTAGTTCCAAATCATTTGTCAAAGCAAATAGATTTATGTCATGTACTTAAGGTCTAAGTCTATGTGACAAACAGCTGCCCTTTGATAAACTGTTGAACTCAGAAGTCAATGAAAAAAATGTCACTAAGTAGTACAAGTTTGGAGAAGAATATAACATTATCTGCCCTATAAATTTTATTTCGTTTCTAGATTAATGACATTTTTAGCACAGATCAAAAATTATATATCTCCTAATAAGTAATGACAACAAGTTTATTTCATTTTCTAAAATAGAGCCATGGATAACCCACAGGTCATGGGTGAATGTGGCTCTTGATTTGATTGTACCAGACCTCCAGAAAATGTTCTAAAATTCAGTGCATGTTCTCTTCTGCTAGTAAAAGTCTAAAAGCCAATTTTGTGTGCATATGGGAGATCCAAAGATGAAAACAAACGTAGTCGTAGAATTATAGATTATTTCAGCCAAAAGGTCCAAATAAATTACCTAACCTCAACTTTTCTTTTTACAGTGAGGAATCTGAGGCCCAGAGAGATTAAGAAGCTTCACAAGTGACATGACTTGTGCCAAATCACAAGGTCATTTAGTTGCAGAACTGGGACAGGAATTCATGCCCAGTTCTCTTTTCAAAACCCTGTGGAAAAAAGAAGCACATTGAATTTAGCCTTTGATTCGTCATCAGCATTATCAGAGGTAAAGCAAAAGGGAGTATTAACAGATGTTCAGCAAAATGGAGGAGGTAAATTCAGAGCAGATGTTTTGACAATGAAGTAAAGAAGGAGAACTGAGGACACTGAGAGCCTTACATAATATATGAGAATTAATATTCTTATTAATATATTAGTGAGAATATATTGCTCTTATATTCTTAATCCTCACTGAATTATTTTAGGAATTAGCACTGAGCAAATTATTTAACCTTTCTTTGCCTCAGTTTTCTCAGGTTTATTACAAGGTTGTTTACTTAACAAAGTAATTATAAATATTAAATGAGAGAATATATATTAAGCACATGAAACAGTGGCTGATATCCTTTCTATATTTTTGATAGTGCGTTATTACTATTACTTTATCATGTTCACAATTCACACCTGTTAAAACTTCTGTGTTTCTCTATATCATGTATCCATTTAAAGTAATTTAAGTTTTCAGAGACTCTAATTTATGTATCTTCACAAATATTGTATTACTTTTTCAAAGCTATAGCATGTGGTTTAAACGTTTCTGGGAGTGGTATATTGGGATTTGCTGAAATTAATCAAGACTAAATCTGGAATACATTGGCTTCAGTGTGCACTATTTGCAAAGAAAAATTCTTACAATTAACTTCACTTCACTATTACCAACGTCTTTTCTGTATAAAATTGTCTTTATTTAAAATGAAGCAAATAAAATCTTGTAAATAGTATTTTCAGGAAAGCAAATTTCTAAATACTGCTACTCTGTGATAAGAAAAATACACTGAAATTATAGTTGTAGCAACTAAATTCCCAAATCAAAAATCTGTATTTAGAACACAGTATCTCAGAGTAATCCAAAAGCTGAAAATTAAAACAACTATAGAAACTGAGAGCATGAGATAGCTGAGGAGATGAGCAACAACTTTTTTTTTTTTTTTTTTTTTTTTTTTTTGGAGAAGGAGTCTGTTCTTTTGCCCTGGCTGGAGTGCAGTGGCACGATCTCAGCTCACTGCAACCTCTGCCTCTTGGGTTCAAGCACTTCTCCTGCCTTAGCCTCTCAAGTAGCTGAGACTATAGGCACATGCCACCATGCCTTGCAAATTTTTGTATTTTTCCAGCCTGGTCTCGAACTCCTGACCTCAAGTGATCCACCTGCCTCAGCCTCCCAAAGTGCTGAGATTACATGTGTGAGCCACCACACCAGCCAAGCAACAATTCTTTCAAATGGGATGCCAGCACAAAAGCACAGTATCCCAGTAAGAGGGATAGACACTATCCCAGACAGTCCATGAGGAGACTCCAACAAAACAATCATCATTCACAAGCACAAAGGCCTCTGATTATTTAAATCCTTTTTTTTCCATTTTCCTTTTAAAACTAGTAACAAATAAGCTTTTAAAATGAACAAATTAATGTTTTTTCTTGGTCTCGTTACAGATGAGGTGCATTTTTTTTAAGAGAAATGTTGGAAACAACCTACTGAAGAAAGGCTAAGTAAGTAATGGTACTTCTATAAGAGGCAATAAGATACAGTAATTAAAAATCATATTTTGAATCAGTTCCATGACATGGGAAAATGATCACAACATAGTGATAGTGGAAGAATATGTATGTGTATAGATGTATATTTTATGAGTATGTACATACACACACACACATGCACGCCCAGTATAATCTCAAGTAATTAAAACTGGCTAAAACAAACTAAAAGAAAATGTACAAATATTTACTTAATTTTACATTTATATAGATGTCAATTTCTTAATAATTTTTGTAACCTTTTAAAGGAATTAATTATAAATGAATGAAAATTACATTTACAATTCTCCATTTTATTACAATTTTGTACTTTTCATTACATTTTCACTTATTAAAATTTCTTTATCCTGAACTTCTAATATTAAAAAATGAATGCGTCCATATCTTATCCAGTATAAGTAAGGAGATGTAAGAGTCTCACCAGCTGAGGTTTCCTGTTGTTTTAAAGTTTGTCTTATCTGCTGCTGTGCTTTTCCTTTGGCTCCCAGTTGTACCATCTCAAGAACCAAAGTTATTCCAAGGGGTGAAAATATAATGTTGTCCTTATGAGATAAGGAAACCTCTTGATAAAGATCCACTGCAAATTCGGTATTTTTTTGAGCTGAGCATCTTGAGGCTTGACTTCCAAAAAACAGCAATAGAAGACTCCACAAGAAGATTGTGTCCATTTTGACTTCTCTGTATTGTTTAAATCAAAATATATTCATTTTCAAAATAGAGTTTTCCACAGAGAGCTCAACAGAAAACTTTCTACCTGTTGTAGCTTTCTATCTTAATAGAACTTACTACCACAAGTGAACTCTATCCAATTAGATTTCTAAGTATCATCTATTCAGAAAAATAGTTCATGTGTTAATGGTATTTCTTACATATCTTCAAGAACCAGTAGAAAATATACTTGTAGTTTTGTAGCAAAAATCAAAAAAGACACTACAATGTTGGAATGTTATCAATGGCAATGGTATCTCCAAATAGTTATACAATAGTTTTTTTCTATCTTTTCTCATGGTTAAGTGGGATAACTGTAACTCTGACATCAGGTAAACCTTCTGTGCTGTCTACTCTACAGTAATTTATAGATCAAGAGGAAGAAATGGAATAAAAACAGACTTACTCCAGTGTGGTTTTAGACCTATAATATTAGAAAATTAATGTATTCTAAAGCAACTGAGTAATCTGGCTAACTTTTTACAATTTTCCTCACGCTTTATTTCTTAGGACAAAATAACCCAAAGCCCTCTTCCTGCTTTTCCAAAAGAAGACAAATACAATGCAGAAAACCTGCAAAGTTTGAAACAAAATGGCAATCAAATATAAATGATACAATAAAGTACTATGCTCACTACCTGGGTGATGAGATCATTTATACCCCAAACCTTAGTGTCAGGCCATATACCCATGTAGCAAACCTGCACATGTACATTAATCTGTAATAAAACTTGAAATTATAAAAGAAAAAATATAAATAAAATGAAATATAATATCAAAGAATTGACAGAAATACTAACAAATGTAAGAGTAGCAGCAATTAAAAACCATAAACAATTCACAAGACTAATAATACCCTATTAAAGTGCTCTCCACTAAAATTGCAGGAAATTCAACCATTTGATTATATCTCAAGCAGAATTAGTTTTGCAATATTACCACATATTTGGTAGAATGTTGACTCCAAGGCCTCATAAATTTTAGTAACAATAATTTTACCTTATAAATAATACATGTTAGTAATCCTTAAAAACTTATCCATCAGTAAGTTACTAGGAAGTAACCCTTAATTAGGGGTAAAGATGAAAGCCTTTAGAATAGTCTGTTGTCAGCCTTAAGTAGAGACTTACATTTCTAGAGTGTTTTGCAGATCATTAAGGGTACCATAAATGGTAGGAGTCCCTAAGAACAACTATATTTATATATAAAGATTACTAATAGTCAAATATTGTTCCAAATTAAACTATGGAGTCATTATTTATCCTTCAATGTATTTTGTTAAACTGTATTTGTTTAGATATATATTTGCAAAAGACAAAAGCCTCAAAAAACAATCCAAAGCAATTGTTAGAAAATGTGTTGGTAAACTTTAGATATAGACCTATATGCTATTAATATCAAGCAAATGTTTCATTAGGGATTAATTTAGCATATGAGCTTATAAATGAGAGTGCAACAATAGTTAAAAACCAGTGAGTAAGAGAAGTTTTACATGCAAAATAAATGTCTGTGTATCATTATCTTCTAATATATTCAATTTCTCAGAAGACTTCTGACCAAAATATGTGTTTGTAGATACGTAGTCAAAATGTTATTAGTACCTTTAAGTTATCAACTGGAAATACATTAGATATAGCTTTATGTATTTGGTTTATATTGGAATAATGAACAGTATTATTAAAAATGTAATTTTTTTCTTTGTGGTAGAATCTCAGTATTAGAGTTTCCTTCTCATTATTATTAATAATCTTAATAATTAAATTTATATTATTTGAGCATCCACATCCATTTTTTCTAGAAAATTTCTAAGCACTTAATAAATTATAACCTCAGACAAATATTGGTTTTAAAAACTCACTTACCTCATCAGGTTTTGGATCATATCTTATCAGAAAGCACAAAGTAATGCTGAACTAAACAACCTGATGAATAGTCCTATAAGAACTGGATCTTCTGATTTGTGGTGAAATCATTTAAGGAGAATAAAAGCGATATGTTAATTAAATAAATTCAAATGATTTTTACACCAAAGTAAATTGAAATGCCATTCCATACTCTACTAAACATTCATAGGCAATGTTATTGCATACATACTTATTCAAAAGCTATTTATTTCTAAGGTACTTACCCCAAACTGACTTCTGATTATTCACTGGAATGTTACAACTAAAATACGCTTGCTGGAAAACTCTTGTACATAAACACCTGAGCGATCAAGGCCAACTCCATTTATCTTGACCATTGCTTGATTAATTCCTCTAGAACAAAAGCAGGTGTTCACTACATTTGTATTAAGAACTAACACAATCGGGTTAATGATCAACTGATGAAATGTGCAAGAATTGAGAAAAAAACAATTATAGAATTTTTTAAAAGTATTAAATTTATATTATTATTTTATCCATTATTTTGCTTCTTTTAAAAGTTGCACAGAATTTGAAAGGATGCGCTACTGGTTGTAAATTTGCTAGTAATTAGTTCTTTTTGTTTCTCACAGGACTCCTACATCAGATTACCAATGCACTTTGTCATAAATATTTCAGAATGCCTATGAGAAAAAGAATAAAGCTAAATCAAGTCCAGAATACAGAGACAAATCACTGCTGCATTGACAGAGTTCTCAACATTCATCAAATTATACAATAGTCAGAGGAGTTTCCTGTGGATATAAGGTCCATTTGAATCCTTAAGAAAAAGAGTGGATATTGAAGAAATATGTTCTTTATTCTGAGCAGAAAGGCCAGCAAAAAAGATAATGGATTTGCCAAAATATATCAGGACAATACTATTAGCCATAGGTAATTGGATGATAAAAATTGCTGTTACCTTTATGTGCTTTTGAAACTCTACATGATTTTCTTTGCAAAAAGGTCATTAATAAAAAATTGCATAATTTAATGGGTTTCATCTCATTTTTGTAGTTCAAATCAATCACCTCAATGGCAATCAGATATTAAGCACATTGTATTATTTATCTATAGCCTTTGAGAAGAGAAAAAAAATTTAGTTCACTTTTAATTAAATATCTGTTGATCCCCAAATTTAATACTATTTCTGATAAACTCATGTAAAAGAAATAAAGTGAATATAGATAGCTTTAAATGGAATTCATTTTTAAAAACTTGTCAGAGGACCCTGTTAACATCTTTCCATGTCCTAACATGGCTATAACTTAAAAATAGGCCTGAGAATAGATCATTATAGGCCATAATCTACTAATTAACTAAAATTTTTTGATTTCCCATATAGGCATCTCCAAATGTTTTCTAGATCTTGAGTTTTATTCTAATATTACCTACTCTATCATAAGCACACTCTAGTGTAGCTTTAACTTAACACAGAGATAATTTTCCAAAAAGAGTTGTGCAATACAAGAATACTATCATTCTACTTGCTTCACACTGCAATACATAAATATTAAGTCTGAATGTCAAGACTATCATTCAATCAATGCTTTTCTACCCATTTACTGACACCAGCAAACATATATCACCAGTACCCTTGGCTACCACATCATTATGTCTGTACACTGCTCAGATCACAATGTGATTTATCCAGAAATAGTCCATTACTTTTCCTACCAATGGCAGAGACCGTCACTCTGTCCTACTAAGACCATTTAATGAAATTGTTCTGTAAGGACCTTATATTAGAGCAGTTCAGGCAGAATGTTCATTTTCCTGTCTCTTGAGGAGTAAAAAGCAATAGCCATAAATTTATTCTCCCTGGTTTAACCTCTTTTAATAGACAATGACGACAATACAATTGTCCATAAAATATTACCACAAATTTTTAAAATATTTTCCCAAACCGCTTTTTTCTACAATTCTATTTTGCTCCTAGAAAATCGGGGTGGGGGGAGAATTATTCATTAATGAGAGCCAACGTGTCTTGGTAGAAGGTTGATCGCCATTACTGTCCGACTGTAAAGTATAAGCCTAGGAATATATATAAAAACCACAGCAAAGGGTTACAGTTATCATCTCATCAATTTTCTTATCCTTTTATAGTTTTTTCAAGTAAAAGTGCACTTAATTCCAAACTTTAAAAATGTATAAGCAAATGCCCTCATCAGTAAAGAACTTAAAAGTTAATTCTTCCATTTAAGCATGGACTCATTTCAGGCAATTTTTTTTGGTAAGATTGTTCCTAAATTTTGAGTGATAATAGGAAAATGTTCTGACAAAAGAAAATGTTAAATTATATTTAGTGTAAATATAAGTAATACAAACAAGGTAGCCTATTGAAAATTATGACATATCCTATTTTAATGTGACCAATTCCTTTTACCACAGAAAAATGGATCATAAGTAATTGAATCTGAATGTTAATTTCAGAAACAGTTTATAATGCCTTCAGTTCTGTTAAGAGTTGACAGGTGAGATCCTGCTACCTGCCTAGAAAATTAGATGCTGTGAGTTACAAAAGAAGAGTAAGACACAGAAAAAAAGACATTGTCTTTTTTCTTCTTTTTGTGTTTTTTCTCCAAATTATTAGAAACAGTTACCTTGAAAGTCTCATACCTTTAAAAGTTCTCTTCTCATTGAATATATTTATGAGACAGCTCTTCTTAATTCCTTTTACAGAAGAAGCCCTGATGTTAATTAAGGATGGAATTAGAGTTACAGCATAATACCATGCACATGTAGTAGGCTATAGAGAGAAGGTCTGTCTGTATGAACCAGACTATCTCAGGCTATCACATCAAACAAAGTTATCTTCAAGGGTAAACAGTAAAGTATATCTAGCAAAAGAATTCCCAAATTAGACTGGAAAAAATATGCCAGATTATGAATTTCCAACTTATGCCAGTGGGCTCATTTAGTATTGGCTTAATAAACCACTACATTTTATATAGCTTCACTTCAGAACGCTGAGGGTAGAAAAGGTGCATTCTATTTATATGTGAATACCCGGAACCTAAAATAATCTCTTATACATGCCTTCAATACTTACATGAGGGATGGACGGATCAGTGGGGAAAAGAGCCTTTGCAAATTATTTGGTACCCGCATTCTACTTTTATAACATCTTAACATTCCATTAAATTTCTGGGCATGTGGCTCAGATTTCACTCCATTGTACTATCACCAACCTATGATTCATAAATCATGTGCTCTGAGTTTGAAATGATGGATTACCCAGTCAAACCTCCTACCCAGTGCAAGAAGTCTTTGCAATATCCCCGTGAGACAGTTACCCAGTGTCTGCTTGAACATCTCAAATAATCTTTTTGTTCAAAAGCAACTTTTTATATTTTAAAAAAATTTACCTTGAAATACTTTCAAATTTACATAAAAGTTGCAGATATAGTTCAAAGAACTGCTATCTCCACCTCCTCCTCTTTCCCCAATTGTTAGCATCTACCGCATGTGTGTGTTTCATCTATGTATCTATCCTCCCAATAAGCAAACAGATGTAAATATAGATATGTATATGTGTTACCTGTGTGTGCATATATATACATTTTATATATACATATAATTAGTATTTTCTGAATCATTTTATAGCAAGCTAAAAACATAATTTCTATCATACTTAAACATTCTATTATTATATTTTTCTAAAACAAGGACACTTCTTGTACATCATCACACCACCCAACAGACAAACACACACGCACACACACACAGAGACAAATATACTTTTCTCCTACAATCTTTCCTGCATGTAATTTTCATTCCATGAGGAGGAAAGGCGATATGAATAGAAGTCATAATGCCTAACTCAGAATACACTTAAATGTAGTTAGAATAGGCAGCTGTCTTCTGAAAGTCCTTCCATCACCGCCTTCTCCACCAAACCAAAATATTTGCTCCACTGGTGCTGGAAAGTCTAGTGTTAGAATTCATTCCATTGGCTTTATACTAATAAGAAGCAAGTGTACAGAATGATGAATGGCAAATACCATGGTTTGGGAGTAAAACAGACCTGGGTTCCAATCTCAACTCTGCCATTGATAATTGAGCACTCTCCTAATAGATTCGCATCTCATATTTTAGCTCTAAGCTAATATATTCATATGATTATTGTGTGGTTTAAACACAATGGACATTTGCAGTTGCTATACCAAGTGGTCCCCTACCTATTGCAAATTATTTTCCTTTACTACATGTGTTATTGAAAAATTCTTCTTAAACTTTAGCTGGTTTTGAAAGCACTCTTTAAAATATAAATATACAGTAAGTCATTATAGTTATGTAAATGAATTTACCAATTCTTTCTATAGGACACAATAAATAAAGCAGAATAATAATATTGCCTGGAAGATGATTATATTTGTAAATAAAAATGGGTCAACAAACAGAGGCAGTAAGTTAAAGAACCAAATATTTCCCACTTGACTTTCCACATAGAGTGGGTCCTTTATATAGCCCCAGGCCCTTTGATTTTTTTTCAAGACTATTACATCTTCAATGTGCTATGGCATTCAATTTTAAAGTACAGTATAACAAACTATTGAAGTAGATCATATGCAGTAATTTTCCAATAAGTTTATAGAATGAATAAAAGCCAATAAGAATTAACAGGAAGTGGTGCTATTGACAAAGTCTAATCACCATTATGAGAATCATTTAAAAACTACTAGAAAGTGTAAAAAAGTGGAAACAGTTTTCTTATTCACATTTGTAGATATTTACTCCGTCAGTACTTTTCATATATTTCAATGCAGGTTTTACAATGAAAACTGATCAAAAGTGTTTGTCTATAGGAACAACCAGAAGGGCAACTGGTTAGAACTTTGTTCTGGAATCATAAAGTTTTTATATAAAAATCCTTGAGAATAAATACCAAGATGTTGCTCCCACTTTAGTTCAATATTTATTTTATTAAGAATACAGAGAAATTGACAGATGATAGATAAAAGCAGTACTAAATTATCCCATGAAGAGAAAACTTCCTGAAGTTTAAATATAAAATAAAATAAAAGGCAGAATTCTTGATGCTTTTTCTGCATTTTATATCTGTACCTTATGTAACAGTGAAGGTTTTTCTGTTGTAATTACTTCTTATTTTTCTTCACTTCACAACTTTTTTCTTGGCATAATTGCTTGGCTTTTCGTTCATGATGCAGAATTTCCTTGGGAAACAGGTTTTTCTCATCAAATACAGCTTTCAAAGCTACAAAATGATGAGGAAAATCACAAGTGAATTATATTTGTTAAGAGACCTATTTAAATGAAATAGTGGGGAGAAAATTCTCAAATTTTGCTTTTTCTAAAAATCTTTGTTTCTAAAACACAGAGTGTATTTGGAAAAATTTTCTCTAAGCTTCTGCTATTCTGTTTACTGCAATTTACATCTAAAAGTTAAATTTTGGTAGAGTTTGTTCTTTTAATGCATATATCTTAATAGAAATCCACCATTCTAAGGGTAGAGGATTATAGAAGTTCCTGTTTTCCATTTTTGTTTTTTAATCTACTTAACAGCTATCAAGACATAAAGAGCCAAGAAAAAATTATTCTGTATTGAAATAAGGCAATTAAAATAGTCAAAACACAGTTTGACTGTCTGCATGAATAAACAAGCGCATCTATAATCACGTCCATAGGGGTTTGCAGTTTTAGGAAAAAAAAGAACCAAATTATTTCCATGAGTGGTTATATTGCGCATCAGTGAGAAGTAGGAGGAAATTGTGCCATACATTCTAGAAAATAATTTTGGCATTTTGCATAATTTTATTATTTAAACAAATGCTTATTGAATGTCTATTATACACAATGTTCTGTGTTGAGGCATAAATGAGGCACAAATATGACTAAGTCACAACCTTTCTTCCAATTGGTGGAAACTAGAAGCAGTACCCAAATAACCAAAACATCATATACAATAAGATATCATTCCAAGAGAATATAAGCAATGCAAACTGTGTATAAACATGTAAAAGATATTATAACAATATATAAAGATTTTTTAAAAAGCTTTAAGAATTAGGTACTTATTTGAGGTAGGTCTTGAATTCCAGATAGGACTTTAATTGAGAATAAGAAACATGGAGGTGGGGAAGAATTGGCAAGGGTTGGATAGGAAGTGTCAACTGGAGGAAACAAGGTGAATAAAGCATGGAAAAAAAGGCCGGGCACGGTGGCTCACGCCTATAATCCCAGCAATTTGGGAGGCCGAGGCAGGTGAATTGCCTGAGGTCAGGAGTTCGAGACTAGCCTGGCCAATTTAGTGAAACCCCGTCTCTACCAAAAATACAAAAAAATAAGCCAGGCATGGTGGCAGGCGCCTGTAATCTCAGCTACTCGGGAGGCCAGCTACTCGGGAGGCTGAGGTAGGAGAATTGCTTGAACCCAGGAGGCAGAGTTTGCAGTGAGCCGAGATCAAGCCATCGCACTCCAGCCCAAGCAACAGAGAGAGACTCTGTCTAAAAAAAAAAAAAAAAAAAAAAAAGGAAAAATAATAACTACTATTAGAATAACTCTGAATAATTCAGTACAATTTAAAAGAAGCATAAAATATGTGAAAGAAAGTAAAGTGGAATAAATTTGGAGCTGGACCTAGGAACACTTTAAACACCAACCAAAGCATATGAAATTAAAAAGTAAACATTGAATGACTTTACAGTATAGTGGCATCTTTATATATTTGGATTAAACACAAAACGAAACAAAAACTTTCCACTTCCAGTGTAAACTATACTGTAGAGAGGAAGTTATATAGACCTTGGCTACAAAAGTCAAGATCTTTCCTCTTCTTCTCATGGAAATTATATGAAAGCAACCAGGAAAATTACAGATAATAACTTTGCAAATAAATTCTACTTTAAGCAAAACTCAAAGAGAGATGTAATCTGCAGCTTACAAAATATAAAGAAGCAAAACAGCTGAGATAGGACAAAAGTTGCCCAAGAAAAAGTGAAAAGTATAGAGAGTATACGAAGGCCAGCAGCAGCATCTTAGAATGTGCTGGGAAAAAAATAGTCACTGTGAGTTACAGGCTCACCATGAAGTACAAATGCTTTATCCCTTATATACATGGATGCTAAAAAGAGGTGAACATGGTTGGAAGCAGAAGCTCTCTGGGACCTGGTTTGGATCGGTGAAATAGATGAGTCAGGGCTACCTGTATCACACACATGAGTCATTTTTTGCTAAAGCAGTCTGTCCCCATGGGTTGTAAAACTTGAAGGATACCCTGATCTCACATCCCAGCCTCTTACTCAAGGATTTACCACATATTTCAAGCAAAAAAAAAAAAAATCACCTCATTAAAGCTAATTAATTAAAAGAGGAAAGTTTTAAAATGAACACAGCATGAACACAAACTTATATAAGCAAAAACTAAAACCAATCAAATTGAAGAAAGAGCAGCAAAACTAATCAATACATGAGCCACCACCAAAAAATATTGCCATTGCACAAACATTGTTACCAAGCATTTTGACAAAAATTAAATTTTAAAAATTAAAACAGCAGTTGCCTCTATGAAGGAAGATCACAGAGCAGAAGTGAAAAAACTAAGGGAGGAGATGAAGACACAAGAGGAAGTGATGAAATATGAGGTAGCAAAACTCAGAAAAAGAGGGAAAAAATCACAAGGGAGAACAGAGTTCCTGGAACATAGTAGGAAACCTAGAATATAGAAATGAGAAAAAATATATAATAAAATGAAAATTATAAACAGAATGAATTAGAAAAATAATAAATGTTGAAGACAGACAAAAAATAGATCAACAAACATATAATTAGAGTAGGTACTTGTATTAATTCGCTTTCACACTGCTGATAAAGACACACCCGAAACTGGGGATAAAAAAGCTTTAATTGGACTTAATAGTTTCACATGGCCGGGGAGGTCTCAGAATCATGGCAGAAGGCAAAAAGCACTTCTTACATGGCAGCAGCAAGAGAGAAATGAGGAAGAAACAAATGTGGAAACCCTTGATAAACCCATCAGATCTCATGAAAGTTATTCACTATCACGAGAATAGCACGAGAAAGACTGGCCCGCATGATTCAATTACCTCCCCCTAGGTCCCTCCCACAGCACATGGGAATTCTGGGAGATACAATTCAAATTGAGATTTGAATGGGAATACAGCCAAACCATATCAGTACTTAAGAAAGAAAACCAAAGTATAACAAATATTTAAAGGCATCATTTAATAAAGGTCCTCAAATAAAAGTCAACCTGACATATGTTGAAAGGACACATTGTGTACTAGGAATAATTGACTTAGAATACTCAAAACCAAGTGATATCCCAGTAATGTTATTAGACTTTAGAGATAAAGAGGAAATCTTCTGGCAACCACACAAAATAATCAAGTCACCTAAAAAGGAGAAAAGTATCTTGCATTAGATATTTTATAGAAATGACCAACACCAGAAAAGAGTAGAGCAATGCCTACAAGATAATCAGGGAAAGAATATGTAAGCTAAGAATATTACATACATTCAAGTTGTCCTTCAAATCCAAAAACTATAAATGGTGTCAATATGCAAGAAATTTAGGGATTATTGTTCCCAAGAGTCCTCTTTGAGGAAATTTCAAAAAGCTAAACTGAGGCCAGGAGTGGTGACTCACGCCTGTAATCCCAACACTTTGGGAGGCCGAGGCGGGCGGATCATGAGGTCAGGAGATCCAGACCATCCTGGCTAACATGGTGAAACCCCGTCTCTACTAAAAAAAAAAAAAAATACAAAAAATTAGTCGGGCCTGGTGGTGGGCGCCTGTGGTCCCAGCTACTCGGGAGGCTGAGGCAGGAGAATGGCGTGAACCCGGGAGGCAGAGCTTGCAGTGAGTTGAGATCGTGCCATTGCACTCCAGCCTGGGCGACAGAACGAGACTCTGTCTCAAAAAAAAAAAAAAAGCTAAACTGAGAAATGACAGAGAAAATTTTGAAAAAAATAACTTGCTGGTGATCACTGAATGTATTTAAGTGCAGAAGTAAAATGGAAACAATGTGGAGTTAAGGCTGACAAAAATAGAAGGTAAAGTCCATGTGCCTGACAATGTATAAATGATACAATTGACAAAAATTGTGAGCATAAAGGAGAAAGAAACCTTGTTTATGATAAATCAGAGACAAAGAATAACACTGAAAACTGACAAATCAACTAATAGCAGTATAAGCAAATTTAACAAAATAAAAGTAAGCATAAAGAAAATCATGTTATGGAATAAAATTGTGTGGTAGAAGGGGGGTAGGAGAAGGAGAAAACAAGTTCATTCTATCATTACTGAGCATACATCTAATAGTGTCTTAGAGAAATGAAGAACTAGAGCAATAAGATGAAAATGAATAAATCTGCAACTGGCATTAAGCAGAGATAAAATGAAAGATAGTATTTTCCATTTGCCTAATACCAGCAGTATGAGATAATGTGGATAACTGTACATCAGCAGCTGATCCTGTCCCATATGACTGCAGATTAGCACTTTAGAATCACAAGCAATTCAGAATGCCTTTGAGCCCTTCTGAAATATATTGTAAAAGCCAGAATGTTACTTCCGAAATTCTGTTTTATTGAGATTTGTCTCTCAACTAGACGACAAATTTTCATTGTAATTGACTGGGTTTCAAGGCCATTAACCCAATAGCTAACTGATAAGTCTGTAAGATATTAAGAGAGACGAACTCACTTGGATGACTCATTTTTAATTTTTTTTCTTTTTAGTTAACAAACAGATTATAAAAAGTACATATGCAGGGGTGGATCCCTGTTTCTTGGGCCTGAAAGTTACAATTTTGGTAGCTCTCTTTAGAAAAACAGAATATAAAATTACAAATATAAATTTATTTATAAAAGTGGCTATTTAAGATAAAATAAATTTCAACAAATTACTAGTAATTTTTAGAGTTAGGTCCTTTTCTCCTGAGATCTCTTTTTAAAAAGATACCTGAAATGCTTACCTGGAAATGATTGTTGCTTGTAACCTTGCTTCTGCTCTTCACCTAGAACACTCTCAAACTCCTAGCAATTTCTAATACTCAAAGGGTCTTTATAGATGAGGCCCAGAAAACCTAACCTTCATTAGCTTCATTTGTAAATCTATATGTGGCAAAAATGATGTCATTAACTTAACATCTTTTAAATGCGTAATGGTAATCAATTCTTCTCACTATTCATAGTAACATCTGCTAAGTTAATGGCATAATGATTTTTTATGATACTCAACAGAGTATGCAGTAGATCATAATACATGTAAGAAATAATCATTTATTGAACTTGCTTACAATTATTTTTAAAATGTCCTTAACCTTGCTGTGATGACTTTCTTGATGTATTAAGTTGCCTAGGGTAAAGTCCACAGTTATGAAGTCAAATATTAATATAAGTGTTGCTTTGAAGGGATTTTGCAAATGTAGTTCAAGTCCCTAATCAATGAACTTTAGATAAGGGAGATTATCCCGGATTATCTGGTGAGCCAGACTTAATCAGATAAAAGGCCTTAACACTGGGGCCTGTTGTGGGGTGAGGGGACAGGGGAGGGATAGCATTAAGAGATATACCTAATGTAAATGATGAGTTAATGGGTGCAGCACACCAACATGGCACATGTATTCATATGTAACAAACCTGCAGGTTGTACACATGTACCCTAGAACTTAAAGTATAATAAAATATATATATATGTATAAGTGAAGAAATTCTACCAATGAAAGTTTCTGCCTGTGCCGAGCCTGCCATGATCTTTTCTTCTTGAGTTAGTGCTACATATTTTGAACTTGCTCACTCAGCCCAACAAACCCATAAGTCAACTTCTTGTAATAAATCTCAATATGAAGTCCTGCTGATTTTACTTCCCTGGTTCCCCTCTGATTGATACACTTTCCATGAAGTACACTATCACAGGATGATGGCAAAAAAAAAAAAAAAAAGTGATGTGTTCTTTTTATAACAAACAGGCTGATTTGTCAAATTTCCTGTGGTTTGTGGCTGGAGATGGTGGAATACCACGGGTAAAAAAAAAAAATTATGAACCAGAAATACCATTTGACTCAGCAATCCCATTACTGGGGTACATAAAGGACTATAAATCATTCTACTATAAAGACATATGCACACGTATGTTTATTGCTGCACTGTTCACAATAGCAAAGACTTGGAACCAACCCAAATGCCCATCAATGATAGACTGGATAAAGAAAATGTGGCACATTTACACCATGGAATACTAGGCAGCCATAAAAAAGAATGAGTTCATGTCCTTTGCAGGGACATGGATGAAGCTGGAGGCCATCATTCTCAGCAAACTAACACAGGAACAGAAAACCAAACACCACATGTTCTCACTCATAAGTCGGAGTTGAACAATGAGAACACATGGACACAGGGTGGAGAACATCACACACCAGGGTCTATTGGGTGGTTGGGGGGAAGGGGAGGGATAGCATTAGGACAAATACCTAATGCATGTGGGGCTTAAAACATAGATGATAGGTTGACAGGTGCAGCAAACCACCATGGCACATGGATACCTATGTAAAAAACCTTCACGTTCTATACATGTATCCTAGAACTCAAAGTAAATAAAAATAAAAATAAATAAATAAAAATAAAAGTTGAAAAAAAAGAAAATGTATGTATACTTGAATACACAACTTAGACATAGAATTCAGCATCTGGATGGCAAGGAAGCACAACAAGATTTAGGACAAAGCTGAAACCCAATGCAAGGAACCCAAGGAATCCAATAAAATGATCCAAGAGCTGAAATATTAAATAGCTATTTTAAGAACCCAAATGAACTTCTAGAACTTAAAAATTTACTACAAGGATTTTATAATACAATTAGAAGTTTTAACAGCTGAATAGACCAAGCTGAGGAAAAACCTCAGCACTCAAAGACTGGTTCTTCAAATCAACTCAGTCAGACAAAAATAGAATTTTTATAAAAGGAACAAAACCTCTGAAAACTATGAGATTATATAAAGAGACCAAATCTAGGACTCACTGATAATCCTGAGAGGAGAGAAAATAAGCAACTTGGAAAATATATTTGAGGATATAGTCCACAAATATTTCCCCAATGTTGCTAGAGTGGTTGACACACAAATCCAAGAAATACAAAGAACCCTGGAAAGATACTATAAAAGAGGGCCATCCCCAAGGCACATAGTTAGCAGATTCACCAAGGTCAATGCAAAAGAAAAAAAAAAGGCAGTTAGAAAGAATGGTCAAGTCACATACAGAGAGACCACATCAGGCTAGCAGTAGACTTCTCAGAAGAATCCTTACAAGCCAAAAGAGATTGGAGACCTATTTTCAACATACTTAAAGAAGAAAAATTCCATCCAATAATTTCATATCCCTCCACACCAAGATTCATAAGTGAAAGATAAATAAAATCTTTCTCAGACAAGCAAATGTTGAGGGAATTTATTTCAATGTGATCAGCCGTAATTACAAGAGTCTCTTAAAGGCATCCTAAATATAGAACCAAAAGAGCAACACCTACTACCACAAAAACACACTTAAGTGCATAGCCCACAGTTCACTATAAAGCAACTATACAATCAAGTCTACATAACAACCAGCTAAGAACATAATGACAGGATCAAAATCTCACATACAAGTACTAACCCTGAATGTAAATGGGCTAAACACCTTACTTAAAAGACATAAGGCGGCATGCTGGTTACAAAAAAAAGACCCAACCATCTGCTGTCTTCAAGAGACCCATCTCACATGTAACAATGCCTACAGCCTCACAGTAAAGAAATAGACAAAGTTGTCCCATTGAAACAGAAAACAAAAAAGAGCAGGGGTCCCTATTCTTAAATCAGATAAAACAGATTTTAAACAAATAAAAATTAAGAAGGGCATATGCATATAATCCAACAAGAAGATTTAACTATCCTAAATAGACACATACCAATCATTGGAGCATCGAGATTCATAAAACAAGTTCTTGGCCTATGAAAAAAATTTAGACAACCACACAATAATACTGACAGACTTCAATACCCCACTGACAACATTAAACAGATCTTCAAGGCAGAAAACTAACAAAGAAACTCTAGGCTTAAACTCTACACTTGATCAATTGGACCTAATTGACAACTATAGAACACCCCATGGAACAACCAACAGAATATATATTCTTCTCATCTTCACACAGAACATATTCTAAGATCAACCACATGCTTTCTCACAAAACAATAAATGTCATTCATTTCAGAATTAGGAAAAACTATTCTAAAATTCACATTGGACCAAAAATAAAGAGCCCAAATAGCTGAAGGAATCCTAAGCAAAAAGAACAAAGCTAGAGGCATCACATTACCTGACTTCAAACTATACTATAAGGCCACAGTAACCAAAACAGCATGGTACTGACACAAAAACAAACACATACACCAATGGAAAAGAATAAAAATCTCAAAAATAAAGCTGTGTACCTACAACCATCTGATCTTCAATAAGGCCTACAAAAACAACCAATGGAAAAAGGACTCTGTGTTCAATAAATGGTGCTGAGATAACTGGCTAACCATATGCAGACAATTGAAACTGGACCCTTATCTTTCAACATATACAAAAATTAACTAAGGTTGAATTAAAGATTTAAATATAAGACCCCAAACTGGAAAAATTCTGGAAGAAAATCTAGGATATACCCTTCCTGACATCAGCCTTGGCAAAGAATTTTTGGCTAAGCCCCCAAAAGCAACGGTAACAAGAACAAAAGTTGATAAATGGAACCTAATTAAATAAAAAAGCTTCATCACAGCAAAACAAACCATCAACAGAGTAAACAGACAACGTACAGAACGGGAGAAAATATTCACAAACTATTCATCTGACAAAGATTTGACATCCAGCATCTATTAAAAGAAAAACTTAAATCAGCAAGCATAAAACAACACTATCAAAAAATGGGCAAAGAACATGAATGGACACGTCCCAAAAGAAGACATACAAGTGGCCAAGAAACATATGAAAATTACTCATCATCACTAATCATCAGAGAAAAGCAAATCAAAACCACAATAAAATACCTTCTCACACCAGTCAAAATGGCTATTATTAAGTCAAAAAACAACAGATTCTTGCAAGGCTGTGCAGAAAAGGGAAGGCTTATACACCATTGGTAGGAAGGTAAATTAGTTCAGCCACTGTGGAAAGCTGTTTGGAGATTTCTTAAATAACTTAAAACAGAGCTACCACTTGACCCAGAAATCTCACTACTGGAAATACACCAAAAGGAAAATGCATTCATGTGTTATCACCATGCTATTCACAATAGCAAAGACATGTAATCAACTTAGGTACTCATCAATGATGGATTGGATAAAGAAAATGTGATACACTCAAACACACACACACACACACACACACACACACACACACACACACACACACCATGGAATACTATGCAACCATAAAAAATATGAAATCATGTCTTTTGCAGCAATACTGATGAAGCTGTAGGATAAAATCCTAAGCAAATTAATGCAGGAACAGAAAGCCAAATACCACATGTTCTCACTTATAATTAAGGGTTAAACACTGAGCACACATGGATGTAAATATGATAAAAACAGTCACTATGGACTACTAGAACAGGGATGGAGTGAGGGGCATGGTTTGCAAAACTACCTATTGGGTACTACACTCATTACCTGGGTGCAATATACCCATTTACCAAACCTGCACATGTGTTCCCTGTATCTAAAATAAAAGCTGAAATTTTTAAAAAGTAAAAAATAAAGTAAATAAATAAATACAAAGCTTATCTTAAAGCACCCTCAAGTTCCCATATGATCACAAGCTTAGGAACCTCAAGCCTCCAACTTCTTGCCTCCCTGGCCACATAACTTATTTAGAATCCTGGACAGTAGTTTGCTCAGATTAGTGAGAAACAGCCAGTGTCTAGATGAATCAGGTCACATTCCTCTTTAAATCCTCTGAAGGCTTCCCTTTATACTTAAACCAAATTTTTTGCCCAGGCAACATGGTCCCACATGACATGACCCCTGAGCCCCCTCTAATCTCATCTGATACCAGTCTCCTCACTCCATTCTAGCAATGGTGACCTCTTTTCTGTCCCTGGAACATGTCAATTTTGTTCCCAGTGGTTTTATACTTGTTTCCTGTGCTTGGGACATTCTGCCCCAACATCTTTGTAGAACTTTCTACCTTAGGATTTAGCTTAAATGTCAGAGAGACCTTCACTGATGTTCTTCCTAATGTCACCTTATTATATTATCTTGTTGTATTTTCTTCTTAGCTCTTATCAATATCATTCTCCAAACTTATCATCTTTAACTATTTATCTACTTATTATTACCTATCTCTCTTCCTAGACAATAAATTCAGCAGCAGTAGACTTTGTTTGCCTTTGTATACCATATATCCCTAGCACCCAGCATTGTATCTGGCTCATGGAAAAGGGACTCAAAATGTATATTTGTTGAATATATGAGCACATGAATGAAGGAACTTTCAGGCATGCAAAGGGGTTGGCTCACTCCTCACCCTTTGGAATCCCTGCATTCCAGAGACCTGGGGACCCTATAATATTCATAAAAGGGTGATTCTCCATGTCACATATATACATATACATCCATTTAACCACAACCAAGTTCTTAAAAATTAACATCTAGTGTTATCAGTAACCACTTACATTCACTATTCCCTACCTGGGAAAATATGACATTTATACACTCATCACTTCACTTTATAGTTGGCTGCCTGACAAGGTTTATTATAATGATAGCCAAAAGCTGTTTTCACAGTGATGAAAAGGAAAGATGTGGTGGTCAGGAAAGTATCCAAAACATTTTTTCTATAATAAAATGATTCAAGGATCTTAACATAGAAGAATTGGTTTATATATTGTCTTCTGGTCTTTCCCTTGCCTGCTAATTGGCAACTAACTATATCAGCTGAACAACAGTGGCAAAACTCACAAAGATACCCTGGCAACAAAGGACTTGGCAGCTATGTAATGTACTATGCAATGACTACCTGTCTATGAGTGTACAGCATTCTGAAAACTCCTTTCTAATTCACATTCTTCCTCCTATTCTGTGTCCTATTTTGCGTCTTCTAGACAAATTCTTATTTATCAAACTTATATGTGCATAAGAATCACCTGGAGTTCTCATTAAAATACAAATTCCCATGCAACAGATCTGGGGTGGGTCCTGAGATGCTGCATTTCTAAGGAGCTCCCTGGTGATGCCCATGCTGCTATCCACTGCCCACATCTTGAGGTCAAGCTTCTGATTTCTAAATCTAAGCTCTAGGTGAGTATTGTCAAATGTCCTTTTATTTCAGCCACCATCCAGTAACAAACAGGCAACAAAGCAACGGGTTGGTGAGAAAGAGTGGTGATGATTAATCAAAATACTTTAATAGTTTTCATATGACTCTCAAATAATGGTTGCTTGGGACCTGTTGAACCTTTTAAATATGTTGTTCACATATTAATGACTTCTGTTTTATAGACCCAAAATTTTGGTCTGTGTGTGTTGTATTTGTGAATTTTGAGATAATTTAGTGTTATGTAAATAAAAATGTAGAGCAATAGGAAGGATTTCTACTTTTTAAAATGCCCCTGAGTTTTCTGTTCATTCTGGATGTTTAGTATCCAAAAGGTCCTGAGGTGAGCCATGTGTAGCAATCTCTCATTTATCATATAGTCAATGCATGTATCTACAAATGCTTTCTTCCTACATTTTAATTATTTGTTCAAGTAAGAACTTTTATATGATATCAAAGATTATTTTTCTTTACCGGTGCTAGATTTAAAATTATACTCTAAAACAAAGATTTTAATAAAAGCTTATGTGTATATTTTTGACCTGTAGCTTAAGGGCTAATGTGAAACATTGTGTGTTTCAATAAAACACTATGTATTGTCTCCAGCACACCCTTCTGGGTTGTTAGATTCTAGTTGAGTTCACTGTTTTTGAACTATTTTTGCCCCTCTTTTCAATTGCAAGCCACTGACGGATATGCAAACTTTGTTTTATCTGCTAGAGATTTGACTTCCTCTTCTCCTTGGAAACACCACTTTCGGGATCTACTTGCAAATTGGACTGGTCTGCTACCTTGCACAAATTGTCAACTCTCCAAACTTTTCAATCTTATGTGTTTTTTTTCAACATTTAACTACAACTTTCCAAATTAACATTTTCAGTTTTTCTCCCTCCCACCTAAGGACATTACCAAGAATTAAAACCTGACATCCCAGATCCCTATACAGACTTTTGGTTGCCTTGCAGCTGTCCCTTTCTCCCAGGATCGTTGGGACTTCAAAACAGCTGACCTTTGCCACCACCTGGCAATATAAATTCAAGTGGTTTTGTAGGAGCAACATCAACAAGAACCCCTGAGAGACTATTTCTGAGACTCTGCTTTGCCCCACCCGGGAGCTTTAGAATCACTTTTAGGTTGTTCAGCAATGAGTGATATTCATTTTTCTTAAACACAAGGGGGATGAGACTGGCGATGCTGAACTTTACCTCAGTCCAGTGCTCCTGGAAAGTGAAGACATTTAAGAAATCTCTCTACATTTTCATGTTCTAGAAACAGCTAACCACAAAGGACTCCTCTCCTCTCATATATTCCAGGACCCTCTCTTTCCTTCCTCTTGAGTCCTATAAGAATCACAGATGACTTCCTCATCTACCTACCTCTACAAAAGCTCAGACCTCTTTTCTTTTCTTTGAGATGTTCCTGTTTAATGAACTTTCTCCGTATTGCAGTAGGCTGAATAAAACCATCTCTTTAATTGTTTCGTACATTTTGTCTTTCACAGAGCAACAGCTACAACAAAACAAGTCACCTGAGGTATCATTAATAGAGCATTTTCTCCACACTGTTTCAAGTTTTAAAGATTTTACAGATACAATGTGAATGGGTTCTGGGGAATTTATTGGCAAAACCTGACTCAGAGGCAGTTCTAAGTAGCTTCCAGGATTTTGAATAAGGCATATCAAAGAGGGGTTTCAAGCTGTTTAAGAACCAACTGGGAGCAACTTGAAAGCTAAAGGGAAAGTGTGAAGAAAGATGTTTCAAGTTGAAAGGGAAAGAAACAGAATACAAAAGGACATAAAAAACCCAGCAGGTATGGCTAAAACATCACCTGGGGATTTTAAAGTGTTTGAAAACTGTCCCAAGTTCCAAAGTGAGAGTTTAGGACATTGAAAGTGAGACTAGCAAAATGCCTCTCATTGTACAACTGCCAAAAACCTATGCACGAGGTAATTACGGAGATTGCAGCAAAGTGGAAAAAATGCAGTGCAAAGACGTAAGGTAGCCTCTGCAATGATAGTGTGCAGGAGAAATATATTGGTAATTGAAGTTTTTTTTTTTTTTAAGTGTTATTTTATAATAACAATTTTTAAATTCATCAGTATCCTTCTGAAAAGGAGAGGAACAATTTTAAATGAAAATAATAAAAATAGGTAATACAGTAAAATGACTGGTTTTAGAAATAAGAGCAAGAATAAGCTACCAGGGAATTTGATTTGAATACTATTTGAACAGGGGAGGCTGAATTTTGAAATATTAATAGCATAAACACCTGAGTCAGTTTTTCAGCATTCCCATCTAGGCTCTACCTTTACTATCTATGTGAACTTAGGTCAATTATTTAAATTCTTTATGCCACAAATTCTTTATATAGAAAATGTGGGGAATAGTAAGTCCCACATTGTAGAACTCTTTAGTGGAATAATAATACAGGGCATTACCAATAAATAAAATGTATCAAAGTCTTACTGGGTATCAGGCACTGTGCTTAGGGCTTCACATGGGTTATATCATTTAATGTTCACAGAAACATTATGATGATAACTAAGATGAAGCCTATTTTCAGTTGAGGAAACTAAGGCACAGAATGTTTACTCGAATTGCTTAAGTTTACAAAGCTAGCAAGTAGTAGAACCTTGTTTTGAAACCAGTCTTATGCTTAAAATTTCATCTTTATACATTTATCGTTTCCATGGCTTATTCTCTTTATAAATTGTAATTCCCACCCCCACCCCAAAAGACATCCATTATCACCTCATAACTTATCGGGTATAAAACTGTAATTTTGAAGGTCCCAACATGACGTAGAAGGACCAGGAGTGGAGAACAAGCATGGAGAGGCGGATAAGATGAGACTATGTCCGTTATCAATGTATTGCCCAAGCTTTTTGATGCCTGCTCTGTGCTGACAGAATCAAGCCTACAATATGTCTCCTTTGCTAGCTGTCATGATGTTGAGCTCTGTCACTAAAGAGTAATGGAGAGACACTGGAGGAGAAATGGATTTCTTTTCCAAGTTCCAGGTTCTCTGTGCTCCTCTCCCAAGAATCCTGCCCTGCAGTTTCTCCAGCACTAGGCTCTTATAGCATGACTTCTCCAGTACCAAGCTCTCGCAGTGATTTTTCCAACACCAGACTCCTGCAATGCAGGTAAGGCTTCTCCAGAACCCAGAGCTAGCAGTTTCCCCTGTCAGCAGTATGCCACCTATCTGATACCACTCCATGAACGGTTTTCCATAATATCCTTGGCAAGCAAGAGGCCAACTGTGTGACTCTTCCCTGTGAACAGCCTTCCCTGTACCCTCTTATTGGTTCTGCAGTGAGTTCTGAGAAACAGCACCTCCCTGTGGATAGTTTC